>NC_000006.12:3090303-3241818 GCF_000001405.40 Homo sapiens
CAACTCTGGAATCAAGCTACTGCCATCCATCTTCCAGCAACCTACCCCATAATCATGAACAGGAGACTACGACAAATAAAACAGGCAGAGACTTTAAAATATAATTTAAAAAAGAGATTAGAATCAGCTAAGATAAACTCTAAGGCAAAAAATCATTCCCTCAAACAATCAGGAATATTTCATAATGATAAAAGGCCCAATTCATCTGGAAAGTATAACCGCTTTAAATGTGGATCCACCTTCAATAACATGACCTCAAAATCAACCAGCCAAAAGTGACAGAACTCAAAGAAAAACAGACAAATCCACAATTAAAACTGAAGATTTTAATACACATCTCTCTTCAATTGATAGAACGAGCAAACAAAAATCAGTAAGGATATAGAAGACAGAAAGAACATGACGAACACACTTGACGTAACGGAAACACAGGATACGCTGCACCTAATAACCGCAGCGCACCTACCTGCCGCACCTAGTAACCGCAGAGCGCCTACCTGCCGCACCTAGTAACCGCAGCGCACCTACCTGCCGCACCTAGTAACCGCAGAGTACCTACCTGCCGCACCTAGTAACCGCAGCGCGCCTACCTGCCGCACCTAGTAACCGCAGCGCGCCTACCTGCCGCACCTAGTAACCGCAGCGCGCCTACCTGCCGCACCTAGTAACCGCAGCGCGCCTACCTGCCGCACCTAGTAACCGCAGCGCGCCTACCTGCCGCACCTAGTAACCGCAGCGCGCCTACCTGCCGCACCTAGTAACCGCAGCGCGCCTACCTGCCGCACCTAGTAACCGCAGAGCGCCTACCTGCCGCACCTAGTAACCGCAGAGCGCCTACCTGCCGCACCTAGTAACCGCAGAGCGCCTACCTGCCGCACCTAGTAACCGCAGAGCGCCTACCTGCCGCACCTAGTAACCGCAGCGCGCCTACCTGCCGCACCTAGTAACCGCAGAGTACCTACCTGCCGCACCTAGTAACCGCAGCGCGCCTACCTGCCGCACCTAGTAACCGCAGCGCGCCTACCTGCCGCACCTAGTAACCGCAGCGCGCCTACCTGCCGCACCTAGTAACCGCAGCGCGCCTACCTGCCGCACCTAGTAACCGCAGCGCGCCTACCTGCCGCACCTAGTAACCGCAGCGCGCCTACCTGCCGCACCTAGTAACCGCAGCGCGCCTACCTGCCGCACCTAGTAACCGCAGCGCGCCTACCTGCCGCACCTAGTAACCGCAGAGCGCCTACCTGCCGCACCTAGTAACCGCAGAGCGCCTACCTGCCGCACCTAGTAACCGCAGAGCGCCTACCTGCCGCACCTAGTAACCGCAGAGCGCCTACCTGCCGCACCTAGTAACCGCAGCGCGCCTACCTGCCGCACCTAGTAACCGCAGCGCGCCTACCTGCCGCACCTAGTAACCGCAGCGCGCCTACCTGCCGCACCTAGTAACCGCAGCGCGCCTACCTGCCGCACCTAGTAACCGCAGCGCGCCTACCTGCCGCACCTAGTAACCGCAGCGCGCCTACCTGCCGCACCTAGTAACCGCAGAGCGCCTACCTGCCGCACCTAGTAACCGCAGCGCGCCTACCTGCCGCACCTAGTAACCGCAGCGCGCCTACCTGCCGCACCTAGTAACCGCAGAGCGCCTACCTGCCGCACCTAGTAACCGCAGAGCGCCTACCTGCCGCACCTAGTAACCGCAGAGCGCCTACCTGCCGCACCTAGTAACCGCAGAGCGCCTACCTGCCGCACCTAGTAACCGCAGCGCGCCTACCTGCCGCACCTAGTAACCGCAGCGCGCCTACCTGCCGCACCTAGTAACCGCAGCGCGCCTACCTGCCGCACCTAGTAACCGCAGCGCGCCTACCTGCCGCACCTAGTAACCGCAGCGCGCCTACCTGCCGCACCTAGTAACCGCAGAGCGCCTACCTGCCGCACCTCGGAACCGCAGAGCGCCTACCTGCCGCACCTCGGAACCGCAGAGCGCCTACCTGCCGCACCTCGGAACCGCAGAGCGCCTACCTGCCGCACCTCGGAACCGCAGAGCGCCTACCTGCCGCACCTCGGAACCGCAGAGCGCCTACCTGCCGCACCTCGGAACCGCAGAGCGCCTACCTGCCGCACCTCGGAACCGCAGAGCGCCTACCTGCCGCACCTCGGAACCGCAGCGCGCCTACCTGCCGCACCTCGGAACCGCAGCGCGCCTACCTGCCGCACCTCGGAACCGCAGCGCGCCTACCTGCCGCACCTCGGAACCGCAGCGCGCCTACCTGCCGCACCTCGGAACCGCAGCGCGCCTACCTGCCGCACCTAGTAACCGCAGCGCGCCTACCTGCCGCACCTAGTAACCGCAGAGCGCCTACCTGCCGCACCTAGTAACCGCAGAGCGCCTACCTGCCGCACCTAGTAACCGCAGAGCGCCTACCTGCCGCACCTAGTAACCGCAGAGCGCCTACCTGCCGCACCTAGTAACCGCAGAGCGCCTACCTGCCGCACCTAGTAACCGCAGCGCGCCTACCTGCCGCACCTAGTAACCGCAGCGCGCCTACCTGCCGCACCTAGTAACCGCAGCGCGCCTACCTGCCGCACCTAGTAACCGCAGCGCGCCTACCTGCCGCACCTAGTAACCGCAGCGCGCCTACCTGCCGCACCTAGTAACCGCAGCGCGCCTACCTGCCGCACCTAGTAACCGCAGCGCGCCTACCTGCCGCACCTAGTAACCGCAGCGCGCCTACCTGCCGCACCTAGTAACCGCAGCGCGCCTACCTGCCGCACCTAGTAACCGCAGCGCGCCTACCTGCCGCACCTAGTAACCGCAGCGCGCCTACCTGCCGCACCTAGTAACCGCAGCGCGCCTACCTGCCGCACCTAGTAACCGCAGCGCGCCTACCTGCCGCACCTAGTAACCGCAGAGCGCCTACCTGCCGCACCTCGGAACCGCAGAGCGCCTACCTGCCGCACCTAGGAACCGCAGAGCGCCTACCTGCCGCACCTAGGAACCGCAGAGCGCCTACCTGCCGCACCTAGTAACCGCAGAGCGCCTACCTGCCGCACCTAGGAACCGCAGAGCGCCTACCTGCCGCACCTAGTAACCGCAGAGCGCCTACCTGCCGCACCTAGGAACCGCAGAGCGCCTACCTGCCGCACCTAGTAACCGCAGAGCGCCTACCTGCCGCACCTAGTAACCGCAGAGCGCCTACCTGCCGCACCTAGTAACCGCAGAGCGCCTACCTGCCGCACCTAGTAACCGCAGAGCGCCTACCTGCCGCACCTAGTAACCGCAGAGCGCCTACCTGCCGCACCTAGTAACCGCAGCGCGCCTACCTGCCGCACCTAGTAACCGCAGCGCGCCTACCTGCCGCACCTAGTAACCGCAGCGCGCCTACCTGCCGCACCTAGTAACCGCAGCGCGCCTACCTGCCGCACCTAGTAACCGCAGCGCGCCTACCTGCCGCACCTAGTAACCGCAGCGCGCCTACCTGCCGCACCTAGTAACCGCAGCGCGCCTACCTGCCGCACCTAGTAACCGCAGCGCGCCTACCTGCCGCACCTAGTAACCGCAGCGCGCCTACCTGCCGCACCTAGTAACCGCAGCGCGCCTACCTGCCGCACCTAGTAACCGCAGCGCGCCTACCTGCCGCACCTAGTAACCGCAGCGCGCCTACCTGCCGCACCTAGTAACTGCAGAGCGCCTACCTGCCGCACCTAGTAACTGCAGCGCGCCTACCTGCCGCACCTAGTAACTGCAGCGCGCCTACCTGCCGCACCTAGTAACTGCAGCGCGCCTACCTCCTGCACCTAGTAACTGCAGAGTACCTACCTGCCGCACCTAGTAACTGCAGAGTACCTACCTGCCGCACCTAGTAACTGTAGCGTACCTACCTGCTGCACCTAGTAACTGCAGAGTACCTACCTGCTGCACCTAGTAACTGCAGTGCACCTACCTTTAAAGGCTTTTCAAGAACATACAGAGCATTTTCAAAAACTGACCATGTGCTGGGAAATCAAATAAGTCTCAATTTAAAAGGATTGTAATCATAAAAATGTCCTCTGAGTATATTTCAATTATGTTCAAAATTAATTTTAAAAAGGTAATTGGAAAATCTTATGTGGTTAGAAGTAACGAAATATACTTTTAAATATCCCTTGGATCAAAAAAAATAAATCACAATGGTATTTAGAAAATATTTTTCACTGAAGGCTAACAAAACACTACATATTAAAATTATAAAATGCACTTTGCAAAGGAGTACTTAATATAACCTTAAATAAATAAATATTTCATATATATATATATATATATGAAGAAAGGCTGAAAATTAATTAGCCAAACATTATCTGAAGAAGATAGCAAATAAACCTAGAGAAAAAAGAAGTAAATAATAAGGAAAAGAGCATAAATTAATGCCGCAGAAAGTAACTAACAGCGGATCAAAAAATCCAAATATTGGTTATTCGAAAGGCTAATACAATAGACTAATTAAGACTGATAGAGCCAGGTGTGAGGTAATCCCAGTTACTTGGGTGGCTGGGGTGAGAGGATCGTTTGAGGCCAGGAGTTTGAGACCAGCCTAGGCCACACAGTGAGACCCCATCTCTAAAAAAATAAAATAAAAAATTAATGAGACATGGTGGCATGTGCCAGTAGTCCCATGAAGGCTGAGATGGGAGGACTGCTTGAGCCCAGGAGTTTGAGGCTGGAGTAAGCTATGATCATGCCGCTGCACTCCAACCTGGGCAACAGAGTGAGACCCTACTTCTGAGAAAAAAAAGAAAAAAAAGACTGACAAAAAAGGAGACAAGATTGAAATCCATGAATAAGGAGGAATCACTATAGGTCCTGCAGACATCAAATGTTATTAAGAGAATATTATGAACAACTTTTTGTTAATTATTTTAAAATTTAGGTAAAATGGACCAATGTCTTTAAAAAGTTCAATTTAGCAAAGCTAACTCAAATAGAGATAGAAACTTAGAATATTCCTGTAACTATTAAAAGAAGCAGTGATAAAAAAAGAAAACTTCCTATAGAGAAAACCCCACAGAGAGCTTCATCAATGATTTCTGCCAAATATTCAATGAAGAAATTATGTCAATCTTATACAGTTTTCTCTAGATAATAGAGAAGAGAGAACTCTTCCAGATTCACTTTGTGTAAGCATAACCTTGATTCCCAAAACTGGAAAATAAGGTACAAGAAAGGAAAATTACAGACCAATCTTGTTTAACAGTATAGATGCAAAAGTTCTAAATAAAATACTATAAACAAACTCAATTCATCAAAGAACAAACGCAAAATTCGGTTTCTGCCAAGAATGCAAAGTTAGTTTAACTTTATGAAAATCTGTCATTATAATTTATTACATTGTCTTCTTAAATGAGAAAAAGATATATCTTTTCAATAGATGCAGATAAATCTGTTGATAAAATGTAATGTTTATTCATGATTAAAAATGCTAGCAAGTCAGAAAAGAAATTCCTTTTCTGATAATAAGGTATCTTGAAACGAACAGAAGTTTTGTACTTATTTTAACAAAATGTTAACAGCCTTTTTTTTTTTTTTTTGAGGCAAGGTCTTACTCTGTTGCCTAGGCTGGAGTGCAGTGGCGTGATCACGGCTTACTGTATCCTTGACCTCCCAGGCCGAAGCAATCCTCTCACCTCAGCCCCCTGAGGGACCACAGGCATGCACCACCATGCCTGGCTAATTTGTATTTTTTGTAGAGACAGGATTTTGCCATGTTGCCCAGGCTGGTCTCAAACTCATGAGCTCAAGCCATCTGCCCTCTTCAGCTTCCCAAAGTGCTGGAATTACAAGGCATGAGCCACTGTGTCCAGCCCACCTTTCTCTGAAATAATATGCAAGACCAAGCTACTTACCACCCCTATTTCTGGTCAGCCTGGTACTGGAGGCCCTAGCTATTTTAGTAGAGCAAGAAAAAGAAAGAAGAGATATAGGATTGGAAAAGAAGAAACAAAACTGTTCATAGGTTATAGGATGTGTACATAGAAAAACTCAAAAGTATCTTTTAAATTAATAATAGTTTAGTTATAAAAATCAATATATAAAAATAAATCTTACAAAAGGTATGTAGTAACTCTAAAAGTATAACCTTAATTGAGAGACATAAGACCAAAGTAAGTGAAGAAATATACCATTTACTTTGTGATTCGGAAGTCACCATAGTACGAAGATGTCAGCTCTTCTCAAATTGATCTATAGAATCAATGCAATCTCAACCAATATCTCAAGTTTTTTTTTTTTTTTTTTTTTTTTTTTGAGACAGAGTCTCGCTCTGTCTCCCAGGCTGGAGTGCAGTGGCATGATCTCGGCTCACTGCAAGCTCTGCCTCCTGGGTTCATACAATTCTCCTGCCTCAGTCTCCTGAGTAGCTGGGACTACAGGCGCCCACCACCACACCCAGCGAATTTTTTTTTTTTTTAATAGAGACGGTGTTTCACCGTGTCAGCTAAGATGGTCTCGATCTCCCGACCTCGTGATCTGCCCGTCTCAGCCTCCCAGAGTGCTGGGATTACAGGTGTGAGGCACCGTGCCCAGCCAAGTATTTTGTTTTGTTTTGTTTTGTTTTTGAGACAGAGTCTTGCTCTGTTGCCCACGCTGGAGTTCAGAGGCGCAATCTCGGCTCACTGAAACCTCTGCCTCCCGCGTTCAAGCAATTCTCCTACCTCAGCCTCCCGAGTAGCTGGGATTAAAAGCGTGCGCCACCATGCCCGGCTAATTTTTGTATTTTTAGTAGACATGGGGTTTCACTATGTTGGCCAGGCTGGTCTCAAACTCCTGACCTCAAATGGTCCGCCTGCCTTGGCCTCCCAAAGGGCTGGGATTACAGGTGTGAGCCACCACGCCCAGCCTATATCTCAACCTTTTAGTTTTGTGTGTGTGTGGCAAGTGGGTGTGAGGAGTGGAACTTGACAAACCTACTCTGAAATCCATATGAAAAGGTAAAGAAGAGAATAAGATCAGCCAGGATGCCCTTGAAGAAGGACAAGACTAGTAGTGAAGGGTTTGCCTTATCAGATTCTTGTCAAGAATTATTATAAAGCTATATTAAAAAGACAGTGGTATTGGTGTAGGTTGGACAGATACTGTTGGAATGGAGTTGAAAACCCATAGATCTACACATACCTAGAAACTTGATTTTCACAGAGATGGCACTGTAGAGCAGTGGGGAAGTGACAGTCTTTTCAGTAAATGGTGCTGAGACAACTGGGTATCCACATGGTACAGAAATGAAATTGGGCTTCTACCTTACACCATACCAAAAAATCAGCTCCAGGTTGATTACTGACAGAAATGTGAAAGATAAAATTATAAAGCTATTGGAAAATATAGGAGAATTTGTCCATATCCTCAGGGTAGGGGATCCTCAACAGTATACAAAAGCATTAGCTGTAGTGGTAAGAACTGATAAATTTTAAAATTTATAAAATTTTAAATGAATGTTTAAAACGAATTTATAAACGAATTCATTGTAAAATTCTATAAATTATTTATAAATAAATTTATACATTTATAAATTTAGAAGATTTTTAAATGAATGTATACATTCATTTTAAAACTTTTATTCATCAAAATAAACCATTAAGAGAATGGAGGCAGGGCATGGTGGCTCATGCCTGTAATCCCAGCACTTTGGGAGGCTGAGGTGGGAGGATCGCTTGAGGCCAGGAGTTTGAGACTAGCCTGGGCAACATAGTGAGACCTCCTCTTTACAAATAATAATTAAGAAATTAGCTGGGCGTGGTGGTGCCCACTTTCGGTCCCAGCTACTCAGGAGGCTGAGATGAGATGACTGCTTGGGCCCAGGAGGCTGCGCCATTGCGCTCCAGCCTGGGTTACTGAATGAGACCCCATCTCCAATAAATAAATAAATAAATAAACCAGTCACAGAATGGGAGAAGTGCAACACACACATAACTGACAAAGGACTTGAATACATAAAATCTAGAGAAATTGTATAAATCGGAAAGGAAAAGATATGCAACCCAGTTAAAACAGGGATGAAATAGCTGAATGGGCACTTCACCAAAGAGAATAAATACACCAAAAAAGTGCACAACTTTACTGGTAATTAGAGAAATGCAAATTAAAACCACAATAAGATAATATGTGTCTAAACATTGGCAAATATGGCAAGGCTTTTCTAAACAACATGAAATAAATCCAAATAAACAGTGAAATGTGTTTATGGATGGAAAGACTTGACATACTAAAGCTGTCTATTCTCCCCAACATGATTTATAAAAGGAGTGCAATCCTAATTAAAAGCACAACCAAATTCTTTATGGAATTCAACAAGCTGACTCTTAAGTTACACAAAATGTACAAAGATAGCTAAGAAAATTCTGAAGGAGGAGATCAGAACAGTGTAGACTACAGCAAGGATAATCAAATAGATTAATAGAAAAGGTGAGTCTTTGCAGGTTGGGTTTTCCAGAAGCAGCCACTGAGTTGGAGATTGGGGTGCAAGGAAGGAGTGGGAAGCAGGAATGAGCAGAGGAAGAAGTCAGAAGGCAACGAAGCCTGACAGCTCTGGCAGCCGGGAGCACTGAGCAAATGCCCCTCAGGCTTGTCCCACGTCAGACTGAAATGGCCAAGGCTTTATCCCCTCGCCTTTCTCAGTCACTGGCTCAGAAGGGGAGTACCTGGGGCAAAGGAGTTCACAGCTGCAGGCTGTTTGTTCACTCAGCTCCTTGCAACAGGGCAGCAAATCCCTCCTTGAGGGGGAATCTGAGAGGCCCATCACTGTGTCTACCACAAAGTCCAAAATCAATCCATGTATGTTTCTTAAGCCACACACAAAATTCGCAAGGTATAAAGAAAAAGATTATTGTATATGACTTCATGAAAATGGAAAGGTAGTCAAAAAGGAGAAATTGTGTTTAGCAAAGGATTAATATCCAGGATATTTAATAGAGTGCCTACAAATAAAAAACAAAAATAGGCCGGGTGCGGTGGCTGACGCCTGTAATCCCAGCACTTTGGGAGGCCGAGGCTGGTGGATCACGAGATCAGGAGATCGAGACCATCCTGGCTAACATGGTGAAACCCCATCTCTACTAAAAATACAAAAAATTAGCCAGGCGTGGTGGCAGGCACCTGCAGTCCCAGCTACTTGGGAGGCTGAGGCAGGAGAATGGTGTGAACCCAGGAGGCGGAGCTTGCAGTGAGCCGAGATGGAGCCACTGCACTCCAGCCTGGGTGACAAAGTGAGACTCCGTCTCAAAAAAACAAACAAAAAAACCAAAATAAAAGAAAAATAATAGACAAAGAACATAGACAATTCAAAAAAGAAACTGAACAACATACTTCAGAAAAGATATTTGGCCTCGCCAACAGAGAAAGGCAAAATGAACCCGTTACAATTTTTCATCCATTAGATTGAAATTTTTGAAAGATTAGTGATACAGTGTGTTGGTGAAAATGCAGAATAACAAGCAGTCTTCTGCAGTGTTGGTAAGAGTGGCGAAGTTTATTAGAAGGTGAGGCACCCAACAAACTCCACAAGCCCATAAGTTTGGCTGCAGTTCTACTCTCAGTAATCTATACTGCTCACGTGCACTCAAAGATGTAGTTTCCATTCTTTGCACCTTAGTTTATAAGAGTGAAAAATTAGAAACAACTCAAATGTCCATAAGTAACTGCCCTAAATTATGATTCATCTAAACTACAGAATACTAATAGCCATTTAAAAGAAAGAGGTGGAAACTAACATGTAATGATATAGAAAGATCTTCAAGATTAGCTGTTAGTGAAAAAAATAAGTCACAAAACAATACTTACAGTGTGGTCCTTTTAATGTTAAAGATATATATATTTTGGCCTGGTGCAGTGGCTCATGCCTGTAATTCCAGCACTATGGGAGGCGGAGTTGTACAGATCACTTGAGGTGAGGAGTTGGAGACCAGCTGGCCAACATGGTAAAACCCCGTCTCTACTAATAATACAAAAAAAACTGGCCAGGTATGGTGGTGCATGTCCATAATCCCAGCTACTCAGGAGGCTGAGGCATGAGAATTGCTTGAACCCGGGAGGTGGAGGTTGCAGTGAGCCAAGATTGTGCCACTACACTCCATCCTGGGCAACAGAGTGAAACTGTGTCTCAAATATATATATATTTCTGGAATGTGTGTGCAAATTCCTAGAGAGAGAATAAGAGTGATATGCATCACACTCTGGATAAGGCTTACCTCTAGAGAATGGAAGAGTAGGTGCTGAAGGAATGTTTGGATGTTATTCTATGTGATTCTGCATTGTTTGAATCTTTGGGGGTTTTTTTGGTTTTCTTTTTGAGACGGTCTTACTCTGTCACCCAGGCTGGAGTGCAGTGACACAATCTGGGCTCACTACAACCTCCACCTCCCGGGTTCAAGTGATTCTCGTGCCTCAGCCTCCCGAGTAGCTGGGATTACAGGCGTGTACCACCACACCCAGCTAATTTTTTTGTACTTTTAGTAGAGATGGGGTTTCACCATGTTGGCCAGGCTGGTCTTGAACTCCTGACCTCAAGCGATCTGCTCGCCTCGGCCTCCTAGAGTGCTGGGATTACAGGCGTGAGCCACCATGTCTGGCCTGTTTGAATCTTTCAAAAGGACTTTGTACTTAACATATTTGTGTAATAAAAATAACTATAAAAAGAAAATCAATTTGATAAAATTAAAATAACAAAAATACTTTTCATATTAGGCTAAGCAGGGTGGCTCGTGCCTGTAATCTCAGCACTTTGGGAGGCTGAGGTGGGTGGATTTCTTGAGGCCAGTTCAAAACCAGCAACATGGCAAAAACCGATCTCTACAAAAAACACAAAAATTAGCCAAGCGTGGTGGCGCATGCCTGTTGTCCCAGCTACACAGGAGGCTGAGGTGGCAGGCTCTCTTGAGCCTGGAGGTTGAGCCTGCACTCTAGCCTGGAGGACACAGTGAGACTCTGTCTCAAGAAAAAAAACAACAAAAAACCCTTTTCATGTTAATTAAAAACAATAAACATACAGCTGGGTGAGGTGGCTCATGCCTGTAATCCCAGCTCTTTGGGAGGACAAGCTGGGAGGATTGCTTGAGCCCAGGAGTTGGAGGTTTCAGTGAGCTATGACCATGCCACTGCACTCCTGCCTGGGCGACAGAGGCAGATTTGATCTCTAAAAATAAACATGCAAAGAGACAAAAACAATATATAGAATGCTACAAAGTGTGAACATAATTAATACCCTCTGTCATTCTCCCCTAGATCATGCATGTATTCATTTAGCTAGTATTTTTGACCACTTATTTATATAGCAGACAATCGTTAACAGCAAAATACAAATAAAACTAGGAAAAAAAAAACTTGAAGGAAAAATACCAAAGTGTTAACATTTTATCTTTGGGTGTAGGGCAAAACTATGGATAGGTTTTAAGAATATATAATTTTCTATGTTTTCTATAATGAGGATTATTGCTCCTATAAGGAAAAAGTTTTTTACTGTGGCAAAATATACTTAACATAAAATTCTCTATTTTAACCATTTTTAAGTGAACAATCCAGTGGCATTAAGTACATTCATAATGTTGTGCGGCCATTACCACTATCTATATCTAGAACTTTTTTATCATCCCAAACTGAAACTCTGTACCTGCTAAACGGTAACTCCCCATTCCTCCCTCTCCCAGCCCCTGGTAGCTTCTATTCTGTTTTCTGTCTCTGAATTCTAGGTAGCTCCTAGCAAAAGGATCACACAATGTATTTCCTTTGGAGTCTGGCATATTTCACTTAGCATAATGTTTTCAAGGTTCATCTGTTTCATAGCATGTATCAGAATTTCATTCCCTTTTATGGCTGAATAACATTCCATCATATGGATATACAGGTTGAACATCCCTAAACCCAAAATCCAAAATTCAAAATCCTCCAAAATCTGAAACGTTTTGAGTGCCAGCATGATGCCACAAGTGGAAAATACCACACCTGACACCTCTGCTTTCTGATAGTTCAGTATCCTCAAACTTTGTTTCATGCACAAAATTATTAAAATATGGTATAAAGTGACCTTCAGGCTATGTGTATAAGGTGCATATGAAACACAAATAAACTTCATGTTTAGACTTAGGTCCTCTCCCCACGATCTGTCATTCTGTACATGCAAATATTCCCAAATTGGAAACAATCCAAAATCCAAAACACTTCTAATCCCAAGCATTTTGGATAAGGGATACTACACCTGCACCATATTTTGAGTTCCTGCCTTCAGTTCTTTGGGGTATATATATCCGGGTGTGGAATTGCTAGATCATATGGTAATTCTATGTATAACTTTTTGTTTTTCTGAGACAGAGTCTCCCTCTGTTGCCCAGGCTGGAATGCAGTGGCACCATCTCGGCTCACTGCAACCTCCGCCTCCCGGGTTCAAGCGATTCTCCTGCCTCACCTTCCCGAGTAGCTGGGATTACAGGCATACACCACCACGCCCGGCTAGTTTTTTGTATTTTTAGTAGAGATGGGGTGGTTTCACCATGTTGTCCAGGCTGGTCTCAAACTCCTAACCTCAGGTGATCTGAGGTCCCAAAGTGCTGGGATTACAGGCGTGAGCTCCCATGCCCGGCCATGTTTAACTTTTAAGTACTGTTAAAATTGTTTTACATGGTAGCTACACCATTTTATATTCCCCACCAGCAATGCACAAGGATTCTAATTTCTCCACCATCTTACCAACACTTTTTATTTACCATTTTTATATTATAGTCACTCTAAGGAGTGTGAAAGTGTACCTCATGGTGGTTTTGACTTGCATTTCCCTATGACTCATGATGTTGAGCATCTTCATGGCTTATTGGCCATTTGTATATCTTCTATGGAGAAACTGCTATTCAAGTTCTTTGCCCATTTTTGAATTGGGTTGTTTGTTTTTTGTTGTTGAGTTGTAGGATTTTTTTTTTTTATGTTCTGGATTTCATCCGTTTTCAGATATATATTGTTTGCAACTTTTTCCCCATTATTTTATTTTATTTATTTATTTTTTTTTTGGAGACAGAATCTTGCTCTGTCGCCACCCAGACTGGAGTGCAGTGGCAGAATGTTGGTTCACTGCAACCTCTGCCTCCCAGGTTCAAGAGATAACTCCTGCCTCAGCCTCCCGAGTAGCTAGGACTACAGGCACACACCATCATGCCTGGTTAGTTTTTGTATTTTTAGTAGAGACAAGGTTTCACCATGTTGGCCTGGCAGGTCTCGAACTCCTGACCTCATGGGATCCACCTGCCTTGGCCTCCCAAAGTATTTTTTCCTTATTCTGTAGGTTATCTTTTTACTCTTTTCATAGTATCCTTTGATGCACAGAAGCTTTTAATTCTGATGTATTATTTTTACTCTTTACTTTTGTTTGTGCTTTTGTGTCATAACCAAGAAATCGCTGCCAAGTCCAATGTCATGAAGCTTTTTCCCTGTGTTTTCTTCTAAGAATTTTTGTGGCACTAGCCCTTAAATTAAGTCTTTGATCCATTGTGAGTTAATTTTTATATGGTATGAAATAAGGGTCCAACTTCATTATTTCATATGTGTATATTCAGTTTTCCCCCATCGAATGCTCTTGGCAACCTTGTCAAAAATCAATTGGCCATTTATAGGAGGGTTTATTCCTAGGCTTTCCATTCTGCCCCACTGGCATATGTGCCTGTCTTTATGCCAGTCCTACGCTGTTTTGAATACTGTAGCTTTGTAGTAAGTTTTGAAATCAGGAAGTGTGAGTCCTACAACCTTGTTCTTTTTAAAGATCATTTTGGCTATTTGGGAAAAACATTAATTTTAAAAAATTACTACTTGTAAGATCTGTGTGAAATTTCTACCTTCTGAAAATATGAATTCTTCTCGTTAAAATTTTCTGGGACTCTATTTCCTGCTGTTCACTAAAGTGTGTATTTATGCTCTTAATTATAGAAAGAGTATTCAAACGAAAATGCAGTTGTGAAGAGAATGCAGTCTCTTCAACTTGATTGTGTGGCAGTACCTTCAAGCCGGTCAAATTCAGGTAAATTACACTATGGTCAAAATCTATTCATTTATTTGTTTGGTTACTCATTCACTCCACTCTCTAAAAGACTATTCAGGACCATATGGGAAACAGAAGAAACTATAAAAGTGAACACCTGCCTTACAGGAATTTATAATAATATTCGAGAGTCAAGTTACATGTATTTGAAATATGAAGTAACAGTGTGCTCACCAGTCATAGAGTGTTCTGAACAAAAGGCCTAATATATCTGATGGGGAGAAGTGACAGTTCAGAAGAAGGAAGGGGACATATGTGAGAGCAAAGTCCCTGAGGAGCTCGGAGTGACTTACAGCCAGGGTACAAGCAGAGAGGCTGGTCTCAGGTCAAGTAGGGATACTTTTTTCACTGTAACAAAAGGGATGGCAGAGTATAGGATACTGAAGCCGCTTAGCTACCTGATCTGTGGCTAATTACTTAACCTCTTCTAAACTTCACTCATCAAATCATAATTGCTCCTCCTCTCATAGGGCTCTTCAAGAATGAAAGAATTCATGGGACATGCTTAGGACAGAGCTGCTGCAGATCTTTTTTTTTTGGAGACAGAGTCTGTCACCCCGGCTGGAGTGCAGTAGTGTGATCTTGGCTCACTACAACCTCCGCCTTTCAGGTTCAAGCGATTCTTCTGCCTCAGCCTCCCAAGCAGCAGGGATTACAGGCATGCACCACCATGCCCGGCTAATTTTTGTATTTTCAGTAGAGATGGGGTTTCGCCATGTTGGCCAGGCTGGTCTCGAACTCCTGACCTCAGGTGATCCGTCCGCCTCAGCCTCCCAACGTGCTAGGATTACAGGCGTGAGCCACCGCACCCAGCCACAGATCTTATTTTCCACCTGAATTGCTCCAAGGAGACAACCACCTTCTCTGCTCCAAACCAAGTCCCTTTTTTCCTTGATCATCCCTGCAACAGCCGCTTTTCTCTTGCTTGCTATAATTTTCCTAGTACTCTCTTACTGCCAGCGAGGAGCTCCTATTATTATTTGTAAAGCTTGTGGGAAGAGGACCATCTCCTAAATGCTTTGGACTGGTCTCGTACTTGTTTTCTGTGTGTTACTTTGAGATACAGATTCATGACGGCGCTCAGATTTTATTTTACTTTTTAATGTTTCATGACACCCATTCTAATGTTGATCATTTCTTCTCAGCCACAGAACAGCCTGGTTCACTGCACAGTTCCCAGGGACTTGGGATGGGTCCTGTGGAGGAGTCCTGGTTTGCTCCTTCCCTGGAGCACCCACAAGAAGAGAATGAGCCCAGCCTGCAGAGTAAACTCCAAGACGAAGCCAACTACCATCTTTATGGCAGCCGCATGGACAGGCAGACGAAACAGCAGCCCAGACAGAATGTGGCTTACAACAGAGAGGAGGAAAGGAGACGCAGGGTCTCCCATGACCCTTTTGCACAGCAAAGACCTTACGAGAATTTTCAGAATACAGAGGGAAAAGGCACTGCTTATTCCAGTGCAGCCAGTCATGGTAATGCAGTGCACCAGCCCTCAGGGCTCACCAGCCAACCTCAAGTACTGTATCAGAACAATGGATTATATAGCTCACATGGCTTTGGAACAAGACCACTGGATCCAGGAACAGCAGGTCCCAGAGTTTGGTACAGGCCAATTCCAAGTCATATGCCTAGTCTGCATAATATCCCAGTGCCTGAGACCAACTATCTAGGAAATACACCCACCATGCCATTCAGCTCCTTGCCACCAACAGGTAAATGGGTCTTCGATAGTCACAAGCTTGTCTTTTTTTATTTTTCAGAAAATACAGCAACCAAGCAGCTCTATTATAGATTGTGGGTTATAATGGGGACAGAGGGCATCATCAGCTGCCAGATGCAAATTGCCCCTGTGGAATGGACCCTGCCAAACCACTTGGTCTGGGAGTATTTCATCTGGGGCTAGGATTCATCACAGATGCCCGCAAGCATCGGGTTACAGGTCCTTGTGACTGGCAGGCATCTTTGACTCTAACCTGGAGTGCATAGTAGTCCTATTTCACCCAATCTCTGATAAATGGGAAGTTATCTGCTTATTTGCTTTTACCTTGCTTGCTACTTTTTGAAGGTAAGAAATCAGTCTTGGATATTTTTGTTTCTGACCTTATATAGCTCAAAGACTACCATTAGTGATGAAAAATTTTCTTTTAACTCCCATATCTCTATCAGGTGAAGTAAAAGGTAGGTGATAGTAGTTACTGGCAGTCTAGAATGGAAGTGAGTTAATGTAATATCCAGCATTTTTATCAAATAATACTCACCAACATCACCTTAACTACCTGAACAGCATCTACCAATGATACCCACAGGTGTCCTGGAGATCTTGAAATCATCTCAGGTAGAGGAAGCTTTCAGAACCACAGAGCTTAGTTACATTTTCTTTCAAAAGGCCAAATTCTCCAAAAACGTCCTATGCAAACATCCTCGATTTCTTCCATAGGTTTTATGATAAGATCTGTAGAATGCAAAATATTGGATTAGACATTAAGCAGTATCCAAGTCATGTATAATCCTATGAGCAGAATGTCCTTTTGTTTCCTTCATGTTGGGGATAAAATTTTTTATTAGTATTGCCATATCATTTTATTCATTCATGATTAAGTCAATAAAAATTTCAGCTGGGGCCATGGTTGGCCAGGTGTGGTGGCTTATGCCTGTAATCTCAGCACTTTGGGAGGCTGAGGTGAGTGGATCACTTGAGGCCAGGAGTTCGAGACCAGCCTGGCTAACATGGTAAAACCCTGTCTCTACTAAATAATACAAAAATTAGCCAGGCGTGGTGGCGCATGCCTTTAGCCCCAGCTACTAGGGAGGCTGAGGCAGGAGAATCACTTGAACCCTGGAGACAGACGTTGCAGTGAGCTGAGATCATGCCACTGCACTCCAGCCTGGGCAACAGAGTGAGATTGTGTCTCGAAAAAAAAAAAAAAATTCCACTGGCTGGGCACAGTGGCTCACGCCTGTAATTCCAGCACTTTGGGAGGCCGAGGTGGGAAGATCACGAGGTCAGGAGATTGAGACCATCCTGGCTAACACGGTGAAACCCCGTCTCTACTAAAAATACAAAAAAAAAAAAAAAAAAGCTGGGCATAGTGGCGTGCGCCTGTAATCCCAGCTACTTGGGAGGGTGAGGCAGGAGAATCACTTGAACCCGGGAGGCAGAGGTTGCAGTAAGCCGAGATTGCACCACTGCACTCCAGCCTGGGTGACAGAGCGAGACTGTCGCAAAAAAAAAAAAAAAAAAAAAAAAATTCCAAAACTCTTCCCACTTTGTGACGTGCAGTTCTCCAGGCACTGGAGCTATAACTGAACAAACAGCCTGAGTCCCTTCCCTCACACAGTTTAAATCCTAGTGGACAGAAGGCAGACCCTAAACCAATATTTAATGTGTCATTTTTTATCTTTTTTCTACATGAGCAACCCAAATACACCCGTTTAGTGCCAGAAATCTCTTTGTGTTTTCACCTCGTTCTGGTTCCTGGTTCTGCCAGTGACAGATGTACAGGGATGCAGCTTCTTCAGGGTTCTGAGATGCTTTCAGTGGGAAAGGGGCGCTTGGATCTACAATAGATAATAGAATTTTCTGTGTTTCTGCTCCCAAAGATGATCCTGCCAGGTACTAAGCTAGTAAATGAACACGCTGAGTTTCTCCTTGCAAATTTAAATAAGTCTTCTGCTTGCTTTTATCATCAAAAAGTCCTAACTCTATACCAAAATATGAGTTTTCTAATTTGCCATACCATAGAAGAAGGGTGTGTATGCAGTAAGTACAAAAGGAAAATAAATGTCTTCCTTTCAGTGAAAGAGCTCTTAGACCCACTGCTTTTTATTCACTGTGCTGCTTGAAGTGAGGTTAGAAAAGGAAAGCTCACTGGGCTAAGAGTCAGGAGACCCAGGTCTAGTCCTGCTTGTGCCGGTCACTATATGGGTGACTTTGGGAAAGTCATTTGCCTCTCCAGAGTTCATTCTCCTCAATTATAAATGAAAATGTTACAACTGAAAATTTATATATTATCAGCTCTAGTATGTTTCTAGTATTGCATTCGTTTCTCCACTTCGTAACTTTCATGGTTTTTCCAGTGGTCAGATTTGGGCAGAAAGCACTGATTCAAGAACACAGATTTCCAAGTAGAGAGGTGCAGGGTAAATAAACCTCCATGTAAGCCCGCGGTGAGCGCAGACTGTGAGTGACGAACACGGTGTCAGTGTAAGCTGGAGGTGGTGGGCCAGGAGGATTAAACAGGGTAAGGCAGCTTACCACTGTGCCTGGCGATGCGCAGAGTAAGTGCTCAGTAAACGGTAGCTGCTGTTATTAGCACTGTTATTATCATTGTCAGCAAAGAACACCTAGACAGCCTTGAGCACTGGAAGGCACCTCAGAGACTGTCACAGGGGTTCCTTGCTAGGATTCCAAGGACCCCAGTTTCAGCAGCTTCACGAACACCCTGAATTGCACACAGATGGCGTGTGTGTGCACATCCTATATTTCTTACACCTTTCAGTAGAGAGGGTCCCTAGTTTCCTTGGCTTCCTCAGAGAAAATGTAACAAATGAGCACAGTGCCTGGTCCAGAGGGTGGCCTACCTTAGGGCCAGGTGTGCTGACGGAGGTACCTTGAGCTGATACTCATTTCCCTCCCTCCTCAGAACTGTCTTCTCAACCACCTTCTCTCTCCTACAAAGATATGCCAAGTGCTCTTTAGGGACAGTACCAACACTTGACAAATTCAGCTCAGCATGAATGTCATTGAGCCCATGCCCCGTACCAAGGCCCAGGCTAGCGAGTGTAAGGAGTACAAAAACAAGTGGGTGTGGTCGCTGCCCTTGGGACTCACATTCTAGTGGAGAAGTCAAACAGACCCAGCTCAGATACAGAGCGGCGCAGGGCAGAGTGCTGAGTCTAGGATTACAGTGCAGGCTCATGGAAGGAGGTGGAATTTGTGCTGGGCCTATGTCAGAAACTCACAAGCAGGGAGAAGCACGTGGGGAGGTCAGCAGTCCAGGCAGAGGCAGGAGCATCATGTCAGCAGATCGGTGGGAAATCTGGTGGGACTGGAGTCTCTGGAGTGGAGACAGGGAGGAAACAGTGAAAGGAAGATCAGAGACAAGAGGGTAGGGCAGAGCTGTGGCTAGCTTCTGAATACTGAACCTGAGAGGTTTGAGTTTATCAGGTAAAGGAGGAGGACCCTTCACAGATGCTGTTCAGAGTCGTGGGATCCCGCTGGGAAGTGTGGCTGAGCTTTGCTGTGTTGTTCATCCACTTCTGTTTTCTGACTTGGTGTTAGCCACATTTTTTTATGGTAAAATTCAAAAACATAAAATTTACCATTTCAACCATTTTTACAGTGGCATTATCTAACATTCACAGTGTTATGCAACCATCACCACCATCTATCTATATAACTGTTTTAATCTTGCAAAACTAAAACTCTGTATCCATTAAACACCAACTCCCCAGCTCCCCTCCCAGCCCCGGACAACCACCATTCTACTCTCTGTTTCTGTGACTCTGACCAGTCTAGGTACCTCATGTGAGTGGAACCATGCAGCATTTTTCTTTGTGGCTGGCTTCATTCACTTAGGAAATGTCCTCAAGCTTCATGCATGTTGTAGCATGTGATGTGATTCCCTTCCTTTTCAAGGCTGACTATTCCATTGTGTAGCTAGACCACAGTTGGGTTATCCACTCATCTGCTCATGGGTGCCTGGCTTACTTCCACCTTTTAGCTATTGTGAATAATGCTGCAGTGAACACGTGGGTAGAAATATTTCTTCAACACCCTGTTTTAGTTCTTTTGGGTATATACTCAGAAACGGAATTGCTGGATCATATGGTAATTCTATCTTTAATTTTTTTGAAGAATCACGATTTTTTTTTTTTTTTTTTTTTGAGACAGACTCTCACTCTATCACCAGGCTGGAGTGCAGTGGCACGATCTTGGCTCACTCTGCAAGCTCCGCCTCCTGGGTTCAAGTGATTCTCCTGCCTCAGCCTCCTGAGTAGCTGGGATTACAGGCACCCACCACCACGCCTGGCTAATTTTTGTATTTTTAGTAGAGAAGGGGTTTCACCATGTTGGCCAGGCTGGTCTTGAACTCCTGACCTCAGGTGATCACCTGCATCAGCCTCCCAAAGTGCTGGGATTACAGGTGTGAGCCACCGCACCTGGCCCACTATACTCTTTATAGGAGCAGCTGCACCATTTCACATTCCCACCAGCAGTGCACAAGGGCTTCATTTTTTCCACATCTTTGTCAATATGTGTTATTTCTTTTTTTTTTTTTAATCATAGGCATCCTAATGGGTATGAGGTGGTTTAGCCAGATTTGAAAGAAGAAAAGTTTAAAGGGTGGCATAGGATAATTAACTTAATGTTTGGCATAAAGCCCTGCTTTTTTGCCATGCTGTATTTTTTTCTCTTGCTTTTGATCTAGAATTACTTACCTGTGTGTTTCTCTCTATGCAGATGAATCTATAAAATATACCATATACAATAGTACTGGCATTCAGATTGGAGCCTACAATTATATGGAGATTGGTGGGACGAGTTCATCACTACTAGACAGCACAAATACGAACTTCAAAGAAGAGCCAGCTGCTAAGTACCAAGCTATCTTTGGTAAGATACCCTGGAAGGACTCAACGCCTAGCAACCTTGAACTTTCTTACTTGTGAGAAGGACATAGTGGAATCTTAAAATTTCTCTGATAATTCTTCTTGAAAGTTTTCTTATGTTACTTCTGCAAAATATCTTTGTAATTTCCATATAATTCCTTTGTCATTTATTTATTTTTAATATGGAGATAATCACAGTATTTAATTTATGGATTTGTTGTGAAAATTAAATGAGTTGATATGTATAAAAAGCTTAGAACACTGCCTGGCACATAGTAAGTTCTATAAAAAGTGTTAAACTTTCATCATCATCATCATCAGTATTACTTCTCAGACCCAGAAGAAATAGCTGTGTCAGGCCCTCATCGAAGGAGATCCTGTAAAAGATAGAAGACTGTGCCCTCCACAGCACTTCTGTAATAAAATCAAGAGGGCTATCTCTTATAGGGTTCTATGGTGCAGCCCATAATGCTAATCCCAAAGTACAGTCTGGAAAAAGTCATGAGGCCAAAACGACTTGATTAAGAACTCAGCTTTCTAATTAACCATGGGATTGGCGCTTTTTTTTTTTTTTTCTGTAAAGGAACCAATAGTAAATGTTAGGCCCTGCTGGCTTTGAGGTCTCTTGGAACTACTCACCTCTCTTATTGTAGTGCAAAAGCAACCACAGACAATATGTACATGAATGAGCACGGCTGTGTTCCAATAAAAGTGGATTTACAAATGCTGGCAGGAGTCAGATTTGGCCCACAGGCCATAGTTGGCCAACCCCTGGTCTAACCCATTTGAAGGACAGCTTTTAAAATACCTAGAACAGAACTTGCGAATGGTCAGGGGCACCTGTGAGAATCTAATGAAACCCAGGATCTACCCCCTACAGAAATATTGACAAAATTTGGAAAATATCTTGGGAAGTTCTTGGACTGCTGACAATCTATAAGATATGGATAGAGAGAGAGCCACATCACAGAGGGCTGAGGAAAGAAGAGAGGTGGGAAGGAAGAATGAAATGTTTTCTTCCTTATATTCTGTTTAATGAGGTAGTGTGGGGATTAAGGAATTTTTTTTGTTGTGGTTGTTGTACATTTTCATTTGTTTCCTTTTATTATTTTTATGAAGGGCGAAGGGAAGGAACCAGTAGAAGGAGAGAGGTTATGGCTATTGGAGAAGAGGCAATGTCGGTCGGCAGTGGGGTGGAGTAAAGGAGGGGTTAGGGTCCAAAAACAGACCTTGAAGAGTATAGTTACCTCGTCGCTTGAAAGACAAGGAAGGCTTTGTAACTGAATGGGTTCACGCCTGCTGGACAATTCCTTGATTAAGTAAGAGGAAAGTGAACTGTTGGGCCGGGGTGGTGGTCAGGAGTTGAGCGGCTTTAACTCTGGCCAGATGTAAGCGGAGAATGTCTAAAAGGAACAAAAATGGTGGTTTTCCCTTTACACCCAGGAAGGTCTAATACCAACAGGATCACTGGCTAAGATTGACTAGAACACCCAACCTCGTAGCCACACAGGGGTTTTGTTCACAGAGCCATCAGCTGTGGCTCAGGGATGTGTCTACTAGGAGGAAGGAATGCCTTATTCTTTTTTGTTTTGTTTTTGAGACAACATCCTGCTCTGTGGCCCAGGCTGAAGTACAGGGGCACAGTCATGGCTCACTGCAGCCTCGAACTCCTGAGTTCAAGTGATCCTCCTGTCTCAGCCTCCTCAGTAACTGGGACTACAGGCATGTGCCACCATACCCAGCTAATTAAAAAAAATTTTTTTTTTGGTAGAGACAGGTTCTTGCTGTGTTGCCCAGGACTGGTCTAGAACTCCCGGGTTCAAGTGATCCTCCTGCCTTGGCCTCCCAAAGTGTTGGGATTATAGGCATGAGCCACCACGCCAGGCCGGGAATGCCCTATTCTAATTCACATAAAGACTCCATGTGGGCTAGCAGGCATGTGAAATGTCTGCCAGTGCATCAACAGCTATATAACTAAGAAGTTATCTTTTTCACTGTCTTCTGGTACTCTTCATTTCACTTGGGTTTTTTAGCAATTCAGGAAGCTGGAATGTTTGAATGGGTTTTAGCTTGATACCTTCTTCTTTTTCCCATTTGGCAGATAATACCACTAGTCTGACGGATAAACACCTGGACCCAATCAGGGAAAATCTGGGAAAGCACTGGAAAAACTGTGCCCGTAAACTGGGCTTCACACAGTCTCAGATTGATGAAATTGACCATGACTATGAGCGAGATGGACTGAAAGAAAAGGTTTACCAGATGCTCCAAAAGTGGGTGATGAGGGAAGGCATAAAGGGAGCCACGGTGGGGAAGCTGGCCCAGGCGCTCCACCAGTGTTCCAGGATCGACCTTCTGAGCAGCTTGATTTACGTCAGCCAGAACTAACCCTGGATGGGCTACGGCAGCTGAAGTGGACGCCTCACTTAGTGGATAACCCCAGAAAGTTGGCTGCCTCAGAGCATTCAGAATTCTGTCCTCACTGATAGGGGTTCTGTGTCTGCAGAAATTTTGTTTCCTGTACTTCATAGCTGGAGAATGGGGAAAGAAATCTGCAGCAAAGGGGTCTCACTCTGTTGCCAGGCTGGTCTCAAACTTCTGGACTCAAGTGATCCTCCCGCCTCGGCCTTCCAAAGTGCTGGGATATCAGGCACTGAGCCACTGCGCCCAGCCAACAATCCGCTCTGAGGAAAGCGTAAGCAGGAAGACCTCTTAATGGCATAGCACCAATAAAAAAATGACTCCTAGTTGTGTTTGGAAAGGGAGAGAAGAGATGTCTGAGGAAGGTCATGTTCTTTCAGCTTATGGCATTTCCTAGAGTTTTGTTGAAGCAAGAAGAAAAACTCAGAGAATATAAAATCAACTTTTAAAATTGTGTGCTCTCTTCTTCACGTAGGCTCCTGTTAAAAACAAAGTGCAGTCAGATTCTAAGCCCTGTTCAGAGACTTCGTGGATCACAGCTGCAGCTCACCGCCACATCACAGGATCCGTTAACGTTAATACCCAATACTCTGTCAGCCACTGTAGGCTCTAAGAACCACGTGCAGTCTTCAGCCCATTAAATTATCGATTATTTTTTAATGAATTGAATTTATATTGAGTCTTCAAATTAACTGAATGGATTTAAAGGGGTACCAAGGAGGGGGGAAACATCAGAATTTCCCAGGCAGTTGTTGCAAGGAATTGGTACTAACCGTGACTACAACAAAAATTCTTGATTGACTTTTAAAGTTATTTCCTGGCATTCTGGTACCTTCACCCAGCCTGAGTGCCCTGGAGAGGGAACAGGAAATGCTGATCTCTACCCCTGGGTGAGACCAGAACCTCAGGGCTGATACTGTTGAGTGGCTTCCTCGGTTTACTCTGTGTACTGTGAAAGTATTTTCATATTTTTTCTGTGTGCCAGAGTGAAAAAGGACAGCTTCTGAGTGTGGTAATTGTGCCTCTAGCACCCAGCCTTTCAAAGCCCACCTGAAACCTGGGGGTGGATGAAAGAACTAGAATAGAAGACTGAAGCTGGGTAGGCCGCTCAGTGTCCACTGGCATTTTGCTAAACCGACAAGGAAGGCTGTGTGCTTAGCTCTCCCCAGAGGGAGGGCGAGAAGGGTGTGGTGATGGTCAATCTGGCTGTCGGAACAGATTCTGGTGTCTTGGGCTGATAACAGTGTTGTTGATTCTGATTGTGAATCCCCTCAACTCTAGCAGACACATACACACCCCTGAAATGGGGCTGCAGAGCAGGCTGTCTCAGCCTTGCCACTGTCGGCATCTCGGCCTGGGTAATTCTGTTGTGGGGACTGTCCTGTTCCTTGTAGGATGTTTAGTAGCATCCCTGCCCCCACCTACTAGATGCCAGGGGCACTGTTCTCCCCAGCCCCCCGCCCCAGTTGTGACAATAGTCTCTAAACATTGTCAAATGGTCCAAGGAAAGGGGAAAATTGCCCCGGTTGAGAAGAGCACTGCTGTAAAGTAATGAGCCTCGGCTCTCCTGTCTGCACCTGTCCGGTTACTACTTGGCCACCACGCAGCCTTGGCTCCTACAGCCCAAAAGGGAGAATGGAGGGAGGCTCCAGGCTTTGCTGGAGGGGCCTGGGTGAGTTCTGTTTGCTCCTTGTACCACCATCCAAATGGTGTTATCAAATCTCTTAGATTCCAAAGAGGTTGAATAATTAATGTTCAAAGGCAAGAGGGCAAGGCATTTTTTAACACTTTTTAAAATAAAAATTTATACCACAACTTTAGGCTATTGATGTGATGTGTCACTGGGACAGATGCGGATTCTCCATGGTGCCTCTGCCACTGAGGCCGCATTTCCTGAGCATAATCCCCTTTTACCCTCCCGCTGCCAAGCAGGAGACGGGATGCTGATGGTAAGAACACCTCCCTGCCAGTGCATTTTGGCGCTCAGGATGAGAGGCCTGCAGCACTGCTGTCCCCGCGCCTGGCTCTGGGGCCTTCCCTTCACCCCCACTCTCTCAGCACCATGGTGAGAAGAACCAAGTTTGCCTGTGAGGAGTTAGGTACAAGGCCCAAGCTCCACAAGAACACTGCTGTTAATGGGCAGAGCCAATGACGACACAGACCAGCAAAGCAGAACCGAGACTGTCCGCACTTGGTTCGGAAACAAATACTCACACCCTAGGTTATTGCTGGTAACGGAGACCTCCTTCCAGCTCCCACAGTCCTGCTTGGTAGATTTTCTACTTGTTGCTACAATCATCATCTTTGCTTTGGGTCTGTCACGTGAGGTTAGGGTTTCAGGAATAAAATGTTTAATAAATCACAAAATATTTTAGGCAGTATTTTGATGTACATTTTAATGTGTGGTATTTATGAAAGGGAAAGGGTTTTCTAATTATAATAAAGGCATAAATAGTGTAAATATTCAAGATTTTAGAAGCAGCTGATTTCAGAGAAATCACTGAAAGGTTAATGCTACTACAGTGATTTTTACAATATGCAATAATCCAAGTATACGACCAGGTATAGTGGCTCATGCCTGTAATCCCAGCACTTTGGGAGGCCAAGCTGGGAGGATCGCTTGAGGCCATGAGTTCGAGACCAGTGTGGACAACACAGCAAGACCCTATCTCCACAAAAACATTAAAAAATATTAGCCAGGTGTGGTGGTGTATGCCTGTAGTCCTAGCTTCTTGGCAGGCTAAGGTGGGAGGATCACTTGAGCCCAGGAGTTTGAGGCTGTGGGGAGCTGTGATCACACCGTGCCTCAATAATAATAGCAATCATCATCATCATCATCAAGTATAGAGTCCTGAAATTGAGAGCTCAAAACTCCCCCCTGCCCCTTCTCAGCTGTGTTACCCAGGCCTTGCTTCCTAACCTTTCGCCGTCATTATGCAAGTATAGAGTCCTGAAATTGAGCAGCTCAAAATTACTTTTCAGCTGTGTTACCTAGGGCTTGCTTCCTAACCTTTCTTAGCCTCAGTTGCCTCATCTATAAATGGAGAGTGCAATAGCACAGAAGGCTAATGTGAAGATTAAAGAAATATGATATATCATAAGGTGCCTGGCACAAAAATGGCAGTTTTTTTAAACTGTACGATCTTGCTATATATAAAGAACTGGTTGTCAGGTATGTTACTTAAAAATAGTGACACCACGCTGGACGCGGTGGCACACACCTGTAATCCTAGCACTTTAGGAGGCTGAGGCGGGTGGATCACCTGAGGTCAGGAGTTTGAGACCAGCCTGGCCAACATGGCAAAACCTCGTCTCTACTAAAATTACAAAAATTAGCCGGGCATGGTGGCGGGTGCTTGTAATCTCAGCTACTCAGGAGGCTGAGGCAGGAGAATTGCTTGAACCTGCGAGGCAGAGGTTACAGTGAGCTGAGATTGCGCCATTGCACTCCAGCCTGGGCAACAAGACCAAAACTCCGTCTCAAAAAAAAAAAATTGTGACACCAATAACCTAAAACTCAGTGCTACCGTTTTTTATTAGCACAAGGGTAACTGGTGTTGAAACTGTACAGACAGCTATTTTTATCATTTCTGAGATGAAACCCCAATCAACATATCAGGAAAAAAGGAAATACTGACCTCACCAAAGATTTCTGAAAGTCAAACGATATTAAACTCAAACATTATATATGTCTCTTTCCTTTTATGCAGGAATTAATGTGATAGATTTATGTTGAGAGTAGAATATGAAAACTTTTGCATAGTCTGTATTTAGGCCAAAACTGCCTTTACTACTCAAGAAAGTCCAATGGGCCAGTGAGGACACTGCAGGTGACAGAAATTTCTATGAGTGTAACACCTACAAGCACTGTGCTCACAGGACTGACTGTTACACCAAAAAGGTCTCTTGGAGGAGAAGAAATGCAATATGCAAAGAAGCTGTTGTCTCCAATTATTCAAGCCAAGGCTACAACAGTAGCCACAAATCTGCCAGTTATTTCCAATTAAGGCAGAACGATTGACTTAAAAAGCAATAGTTGTTTTTTTTCTCCACTGAGCTTTCAATTAGATAATGTCTATAACCTTTATAAAGCTGCAATTATACAGCCAAAAGAAAAAAAATTAATTGTGGTAAAACATACATAAAACTTACCACTTAAACCACTTTTAGGTGTGTAGTTCAGTGGCAGTAAGTACACTCACAATGTAATGCAGGCATCACCAAAATCCATCCCCAGGACTTTTTCATCTCTCCAAACTGAAACTCTGTCCCCATGAAACACCAACTTTCCATTCCCCCTTCCACCAGCCCTCAACAACCCCCATTCTATTTTCTGTCCCTATAAGTTTGACTCCTCTAGGTACCTTATTATATAAGTGGAATCACACAGTATTTGTCTTTTTTTGACTGGCTTACCTCCCTCAGCATAGTGTCCTCCAGGTTCATCCATGTAGTAGCAAGTGTCAGAATTTCGTTCTTTGTTCAGGCTAAAAAATGTTCCCTTGCATGCACAGACAACATTTTGCTTATCCATGTATCTGTTTTTGGACACTTAAATTGCCTCCACCCTTTTGGCTATTGTGAATAGTGCCGCTGTCAACGTGAGTGTAAAAACATTTCTTCTTGTACACCCTGTTTTAAATTCTTTTGGGTTATATACCCAGAAAAGAAAATGCTGGATCATATAACTGATTTGTTGAGGAACCGCAGTATTGTTCATCACATGGCTGCACCATTTTACATTCCCAACAGCAATATACAAGGGCTTCAATTTCTCTACATCTTCACCAACACTAATTTCTGGGGGTTTTGCTAGTAGCCATCCTAATGGGCGTGAAGTGGTATAAACAAAATTTAGATCCCATCATCTCCGAAAAGCAAATACACTTCCTAGTACTAGTCAGTACTAAATAGGTGCACAGCGTTTAGAACTTTACTTGATCCAACATAGCAGCCTGCCTAGAGCCGGAGCCCCGCCCACTCCGGAGTCCCGCCTGGACGCCGACGCAGCGAGGGCGCTATGGCTGGCGGCCTCGCCTCCTGGAAAGGCCATGGTCGCTGAGGCGACGAGCGAGGGCGGGGCAGCGCCGACGGGGACACTCATCCCGGGAGCCAGAGCCAGCACCGAGAGGGGACGGTCTACGCGGGTGCCGGCGGTTCCAGGACTGCGAAACCACGAGCCGAGTTTCGGTCGCCCATGGGAAAGCACCCGGCAGGGCGTGGCTTCGGGGCGGGGCGGGCAGAGGGCGGAGCAGGATGGAGAGGCGAGGTGGGCGGAGCAGAGGGCGTGGCTTCGGGGCAGAGTGGGCCGGGTACCGCGCTTGGTCTTAGCGCATGCGCACTCCCGGCAGCTACGCGACCTGTGACCATGGTGGCTGTGCTGGGCGGCCGGGGCGTGTTGCGCCTGCGGCTGCTTCTCTCAGCGCTGAAGCCCGGGATCCACGTCCCACGGGCCGGACCCGCGGCCGCGTTCGGGTAATGGCGGCCACCTCGCCCCGGGGATCCCCAGCATCGGCGCGCTCGAGGGGCGGCGGGAGGGGCGCGTGCCGACAGCAGGAGTTCCCGGCGCGCGGGCACGGGGCGTGGGCGCGGCCTGGCTGCCCTGTCGCCCTTTGTGCCGCGAGACCCCGATCCTGGGGGCCAGCCGCGCTTGGTGCTCGAGCCCCTCGATCGTGCATGCGCCTCGGTCAGCCTCAGTTCAAGGAGTCTGGAGCCGTGGAGGCTTGGGCTATAGAGTGCAGCCCCTTCAGTGTGCAGACCAGAGAGACCCAGGGAGATACATTTGCCTGTAGTATGGACTCACCCGTGACGGAGCACGGACTAGAATCCCAACGCCCTCATTAGTCCATTGCTCTGTCCAGAGTCCACACTAAGGGCATAAGGACAATAATCTCTTCTTTCTCTTATGTCAGAAATCAGCCTGAGCCTGAGTACCGCTAAGGCTTTAATCACGGGTCCCGAGAGCCCTAAGTCTTCTCTTTGCTTGCTGATCTCGTACCTTAATGTGCAAAAGAATCACGTTGGGAACTGAAAATTCAGAATCCTGGGCCTCACTCCCAGAGGATCTGATCTACATGTGTGGAGATGCCCAGGAATCTGCTTTATTCTCTTTTGTCCTCCCACCTGTCCCCCCATTTCAGGTAAAACAATAACAAAAAAACTGGATTAATTTCTGACCTTCTGTCTTGAAAATGGATACTCTTGGTCCCAAGAGATACTGGGCAGAAATGTGGATAGAGCGGCATGAAGCTTGTTTTACTTTATTCTCTACATACATCCCTACACACATGCAAACACACGTATACAACGAACGTACACAGTGCATGTGCGCAGTTGACTGTTGATGGGCTACTTTCATAAAGTCAGTACTAGATAGGTACACAGCGTTTAGAACTGTACTTGATCCAACATAGAAACTTTTAGTTTGAAAACTTGATTTAGAAGGAGAAAAGAGGGCAAATCTGACCAGCTTTTAAAATTTCATATTGCAATTGACTAGCTCCTTTAATTTTAGAATTATTATAAGATGGTCAGGGCTATTTTGATAGATGGAAAAACATGTTAATGGCTACAGCTGTATAAATTAACAGTGAAAATGATTATTTTTTCCAGTTTCCTGTCTGCAGAAAGGCATCGAAATAAGTTACTGTGATTGTACCAATATAGTTCTTTTTTTTTTTGAGACTGACTCTCGCTCTTTTGCCCATGCTGGAGTGCAGTGTTGTGATCTCGCTCACTGCAACCTCTGCCTCCCAGGTTTAAGCGATTCTCGTGGCCTCAGCCTCCCGAGTAGCTGGGATTACAGGTACCTGCCACCATGCCCGGCTAATTTTTGTGTTTTTAGTAGAGATGGGGTTTCACCATGTTGGCCAAGCTGATCTCGAACTCTTGACCTCAAATGATCCACCTGCCTCAGCCTCCCAAAGTGCTGGGATTACAGGCGTGAGCCACCGCTCTCGGCCTACCAGTATAGTTCTGATAGGTTATTTAATGGTTGAGGAAGGCCCCATCCATCTAGTTGCATTGCAGATCATTCTTCCTAAAATATCTCTGAAGAAACAGGTTTTTCTGGATTTTGTACGGCCGTTTTATAAATGCAGCTGCAAGTTGATATGACATATAATCTGGGAAAACAAGCAGTGGTATTAGTTAATCCTGAAATGCAGCTGTAGCTCAGTGTCAGTAGGTAAAAGGATTCGTGTAAAAACTTTGCTTCAGAATAGCCAGTGCCCAACCTACAACTGACTTTTGTTCCAAAAACTTGTTTGTAAGTCTGCTGTTTGGAACTTTGACCCTTATTTCAAAATCCGTAAGGTGATTTATTCCTGGGTCAGGTCAAGAAAAGCCTTTTCTACCTGAAATTGGATATTATGTGCAGTTATAAATATTAATAATTCACATAACCTAACAATCTTCCTAAAAAATATTTTCCAAGTTCAACCTTGGGATGCCCTGCCAGAGAATCAGAGACTGTCCTTCTGCTGACGCTTGCCACCACGCTGTATCTGGCAGTCAGAGTGTGGCCCCGGTGCCTGAGCCCTCTTAGGACTCTGTTCAGCCATGAGGTTAGAGAGGAATCATGGCCTCTGGAGTTCTAATGGCCCCGTGGCCACTTCCTAGCTCTGTGAGTGTGGGCAGATTGTTCAACCTCTCTGAGCCTCCTGCCTTGCAGCGTTTTTGTGAGGATTTGAAACAATAAATGTAAAAGCCTGGGGATATAATAAACATGAAGTAATTAGTAGGCACAATGGGAATATTTATATAATAGTACAATATATAAGAGATGTAAAAATAATTCATCAAGATTCATGCAAATTTCAAGCCCTGAAGGTAGCAAATACTTTATTGTAGATAATGGCTACTTCACAAAACATACACAAAAGAAATAGCTGAACATACAATATGATAATAGCAGTTTCTTTTTTTTTTTTTTTTTTTTTTTTTTTGAGACGGAGTCTCTCTCTGTCACCAGGCTGGAGTGCAGTGGCACGATCTCGGCTCACTGTAATCTTCACCTCCCAGGTTCCAGCGATTCCCCTGCCTCAGCCTTCTGAGTAGCTGGGATTACAGGTGTGCACCACCATGCCGGGCTAATTTTTTTGTGTGTATTTTAGTAGAGATGGCGTTCCACCATGTTGGGCAGGATGGTCTTGATCTCCTGACCTCGTGATCCTGACCTCGTGATCCACCCACCTGGGCCGCCCAAAGTATCGGGATTACAGGTGTGAGCCACCACACCTGGCCGATCCTAAGCTATCTTAACTGTAGAAATGAATTTCTCAGAGGAATAGGGCAGTAATCATAATAAGTAAATGGCAGAGTCAGTATTGCCATTGCTTGGTGGCTTCATTGATGCCCCTTTAATAATATTTCTGTAGATAAGGAGCTTATAGTTTAGTCAGACCTTATTACTACCCAATTCTGTCTTTTATTTTTCCAGAAATGGTATGTTAAGAGTAGATGTACCTGTATTCAACACATCTGTTTCCACGTTTGTTTCTTTTTTACTTGAGACTGGCAAATAAGATTAAACCAAAAGATAAAACAGGACCTCATTTTTTCAAAAGGGCTGTGTTTCAGTTATCCTTTGACTAAGGGCAGAGGTAGGAGTAGAGAGTATGTAGAAGAAAAAGGAGATGGGCCGGGCCTGTAATCCCAGCGCTTAGGGAGGCTGAGGCAGGCAGATCACGAGGTCAGGAGATTGAGACCATCCTGGCTAACAGGGTGAAACCCCGTCTCTACTAAAAATACAAAAAAATTAGCCGGGCGTGGTGGCGGGTGCCTGTAGTCCCAGCTACTTGGGAGGCTGAGGCAGGAGAATGGTGTGAACCCGGGAGGTGGAACTTGCAGTGAGCCGAGATGGCGCCACTGCACTCCAGCCTGGGCGACAGAGTGAGACTCCATCTCAAAAAATAAATAAATAAAAATAAAAATAAAAGGAGATGGTGGTTGATTTCATTGTATTGGCACTCCACCAGGAGAAGAGAGCGCCTCCTTCTGGCATCTGTCCTGGCTTGCCATCATGTCCCTCCTGTGCTTCACTCAGTCATCTGTCTGATAAGCTGTGGGAAGGCTGATGGAGCCTGGTCCTGGTGCAGGGGCCGTCTGTGTGCCCCACTGGTATATATCCCAGGACAGTCTGGCTGTCCTCGAAGAGCAGCTGAGGAGAGGTTAATCAGAACACCTGTACGGCACCCATAATTCAGGCAGCACAGACACTGGCATTATGCCTGTCCTGAGGCGTTGTCCTGTGCTAAGTGTGGTCCAGTTAGATGCTGGATCCTAGGAGGTCTTAGGCCAAGGCGGGTGAGTGGCAGGAAGGAGGGCTCTTGAGATGGAGGCTTATGGACAGGGCTACTTAGCAGTTGACACAGACATATTTTAACATCTTAAAAAACAGTAGGATTTATCCGTGCAGATGGGCACTGTTGACTATGGCCCTCCTGCAGCAGGCCAGACAACACAGGATACCCTACAGCTAAAGAACAGCCTGGAGATCGAGACCTTGGGACCAGTCTCATCTTTGGGAATGTCACCAAGGCTGCTGAAGGTCTGGGTAGGTCCTCTGGGCCTGCTGAGTGCAGACGAGTGACTCCAGGGTCTCTGCCCCTGATGTCCACCCTCGTTTCACGCCAGCCTGCACTTGAGGACCCTTGGCTTCCAGCTCACCGGCGTGTGCCATGAGCCTCTGTGGCCATTGATTGAGCAAGCCGCCTAGGGTTTTTGTAGGGTGAGCCCCAGGCTGGGCACAATAGCGTATTCAAGCATGAGGGCACAGTTCAGATCGGCAGTCTAGTAAAGAAAATTCAAACTCATGTCACTGTTCAGAATTGGAAAAATCGAAATAACCCAAGGAGACTGAGAGGCGTTCTGGAGGCGACTCATTCATATACAAAGACAGTTTTATCATATTAAATTCGTGCTGTTAAATGATTTTCCTCTGGGGGTGGATTTTTAAACATTTTTCAAATTTTATTTTTTAATTGACATAAGTGTACCTGTTTATGGGGTAGATAGTGATGTTTCGATAGATACAAGGTGTAGTGATCAGATCAGTGTAATTAGCATATCCATCGTCTCAAACATTTATCATGTCTTTGTGTTGGGAACATTCAGTATCTTCCTTCTAGCTATTTTAAACTATCGCTTATTGTTAGCCGTAGTCATCCTACAGCGCGTAGAACACTAACACTTATTCCTCCTGTCTAGCTGGAATTTTGAATCAACTAAGAAATCTTCCCATCTCCCCTTTCCCCCTGTGGGGATGTGTTTTTTCTCTTCTAGCACCTCGGTAACCTCTGCCAAAGTGGCTGTGAATGGCGTTCAGCTGCATTACCAGCAGACTGGAGAGGGAGATCACGCAGTCCTGCTACTTCCTGGGATGTTAGGTCTGGGTACTTTTTAATGGAATGTTTTTGCATGCTGTAAAATCTATGATGCATTCACAATACTAGATGCCAAATACTGATGATTAATTTTAGTGCTTTTTTGAAATGTTTTCATATTTGCTACAATCAAACTTAAATGACTTAGAAAAGTAGGTAACTTTCTACTGCTGTTCAGAATTGGATTTTTTATTCCTTTAGTAAAGTACCCAGTTTTTCCTATTGCAAGTACTCTGTGAAATCACAGTTGCCCATAATTTGGGAGGGTGACAGGGGTCAAGGAAAGGGGTGTGGGAAGAAGGTAAAGGAGGAACGTGAGTGGGTAATCAGTCATCCTAGTTTGCTTGGCGTTGGGGGATTTTCCAGGATGTGGGACTTTCAGTGCTAAAACTAGAGTGAATTGATCACTTGTTGTGGTTGATAATATATTCCGTTAAAATAAGAGGTAAGAAAAAAAAAACCTCAGTTTGATTCTTTTTAGAAATCAGAGTTAGATTGGCATATTACCCTCTCTCAATATATGGGCCATAATAAAGCCTACTGGATCTCAATCTCATTTTGCAGAACTGGAGTTCAGATGTAGAAAGTTCAAGGGAAAAATTTGCAGTGATTCCAGTACATCCGAAATCTGGTTTTAAGGGTGTTAGTATTGTTGCTTTATTTTTGATTTAGTTAAATAATCCTAATATTTAATCTCAGTATTCCTGGGGGACTGGATCCAGGAAGCCCTCAGATCCCAAAATCTGAGGATCCTCAAGTCCCTGATATAAAATAGCTCAATGTTTGCATGGAAGCTACGCATGTTCTCCTGTATACTTTAAGTCATGTCTAGATTACTTACCATATCTCATGCAATGTAAATGCTGTGCAAATAATTGTTATTTTGTATTGTTTAGGGAATAATGACAAGGAAAAACGTCTGTACATGTTCAGTACAGACCCAACCACCCATTTTTTTCCCGAAATATTTTTGTTCCGAGGTTGGTTGAATCCACAGATGTAGAACCACGGATAGGAAGGCTGACTGTACTTATTTCTTTGTGATTTGCTTCTTTCTAAAAGTGAAGTGCTAAAAAGGTTCCACTTGACTGAGCCTCAGCGGATCGTGGCACTGTTGCACGTGTGTCTAAATGGTGTTTGGTACCTTTGTTTTCCTTAACCTGATGAACAAGGACACTGACTCTCATGGCTGATGGGGAGCTAAAGTTATCTGTAAAAACATTGCCTATCTTAGCTTTCCATTATTTCGGTATTGCAGTCATTGTCCAGGTGCTAAAAACTTACCAATTTAATTTTTTTTTTTTTTTTTGAGAGGGAGTCTCACTGTTGCCCAGGCTGGAGCCAGTGGCACTATCTTGGTTCACCACAACCTCTACCTCCCAGGTTCAAGCGATTCTCCTGCCTCAGCCTCCTGAGTAGCTGGGATTACAGGTGTGCACCACCATGCCTGGCTAATTTTGTATTTTTAGTAGAGACGAGATTTCACCATGTTGTCCAGGCTGGTCTCAAACTGCTGACCTCAGGTGATCTACTCGCCCCGGCCTCCCAAAATGCTGGGATTACAGGCATGAGCCACAGCACCTGTCCCCAATTTAATTTTTTTTTATGTAAAGTATTAGCATGATTCCAATATTAAAAAAAATGGACCAGAGGAGATTCTCTCTCCTGTCCTATCCTCAGCACCCAGTTCCCCTCCCCACAGGCCTCTCAGATGTTACATGCTGATAACTATGTACATGTATTCCTTAAATGTTTTTTTAAGTTTTATATTCTTGGCACTGGTCTTCAAATGTGTACATGTGTGCCAGGGAGCAAATGCCTTCTTGTTTCTGAAATTGGTCTTTTAGACTGTTCTTTTTTCCCATCTTCTCACCTCCTGCCCCTCCTTCAGGGTACTTCCGTGGCCAGAACCCCTCCAGGTCAGAGGCAGAAGAGAAGCCTCATGGGTCACAGCAGCAGATGTGGGCTGGAGATCTATTCATTTGGTTTTGGCTTGAATTTTCTGAATGGTTTACTTGATCTTGGGAAAGATATATCTTGCCAGGAAAAATGATAGGCCTTGACAATGTTGAATGATCCTGCACCACCTTGAAAGACATTTTCTAATATGGTTTGTCAGGCAAAGTGGTTAGTAGTCATTTGTGGCCTGAGGTAGAAGTCCTCAGAAATCAGCAGACTTCACTGATAAAATGCTGACTTGCCCCTGGACTGGGCTCTGTGAGAGTGGCCTTCTGCACTGTGCACAGTAGGTGTGAACACACCACACCTACAGGGACCACGTGGTGGGCTGTGGACTAGCGGCCAAGCTCCCTGCAGGCCCACTAATAGAATTCAGCTTTTAGCATGGGCTGTTTCATACTGTTCTGATGAAACTGATTTGGTTTCTTTCCTCCATACCCCTTCTGCATTTCAGTGTTTTTGTTTAGTTTTCCTGGTTTTTAATTATAACTACAAAATAAAATCTTTAGGCTATTCACCTTAGCTTAGTAAAAAAAAAAAAAATTAAAAATCTGGAATTTTAGAATTCTACTTTGAATAACTTGGACCAAATCTCATAAATTTCTTTGCAGATATTATAGAGATCCCTCTCATGTGTAAGTCATTGTTTTAAGAAGAATAGATAACCCAGAAGCATATCTGTGAATTAATTTGTATACAGTTTCATTAATTCTTTCCTTTAGAAAAGGAAGATTAAGCCAAAGAGGTTTCAAAAGTGCTGAAATAATACAGAAGCAAAGGAAGACCCAGGGCCTCTGTCTTTCTCAAAATAGCCACCAGGGGGAGGTCGGAGGCAGGCCTGCACTCCGCCGGGAAAGGAAGCGCGCCTCCTTTTTTTTTTTTTTTGGTGGAGGGACAGAGTCGCACTTTGTCACCAGGGTAGAGTGCAGTGGCGCAATCTCCGTTCACTGCAACCTCTGCTTCCCTGGTTCAAGCGATCCGCCCGCCTTGGCCTCCCAAAGTGCTGGGATTACAGGCGTGAGCCACCGCGCCCGGCCCCTTTTTTTTTTTTTTTTGGAGACTGAGTCTTGCCCTGTGCTCAGGCTGGAGTGCAATGGCGCGATCTGGGCTCACTGCAACCTCCGCCTCCCGGGTTCAAGCAATTCTCCTGCCTCAGCCTCCTGAGTAGCTGGGACTACAGGCGCACACCGCCATGCCCGGCTACATTTTTTTTTTTTTTTTTTTTTTGTATTTTAGTAGAGATGGGGTTTCACCGTGTTGCCCAGGCCGGTCTCGAACTCCTGAGCTCAGGCAGTCCGCCCGCCTCGGCCTCCCAAAGTGCTAGGATTACAGGCGCACCCGGTCAGCCTGCCTCCTTTCTTCGAGTGGATGGATTAAGTCATTGCAAGGCTGCTTTCCTGATTACATTCTGACCACTTTGAGTAGAAACTACTTTGCTTTTAAGATTGTTATTGCTTCTGTTTTCACTGTAATGTGTTTGATAGTGAAAGCGATCACCTGAGGGTAACCAAGTGGCTGTTTTTAGGAAGTGGAGAGACTGATTTTGGACCTCAGCTCAAGAACCTCAATAAGAAGCTCTTCACGGTGGTCGCCTGGGATCCTCGAGGCTATGGACATTCCAGGCCCCCAGATCGCGATTTCCCAGCAGACTTTTTTGAAAGGGATGCAAAAGATGCTGTTGATTTGATGAAGGTAGGTCTCTGAGGGAAGGGCCAGGGGAGGAAGGGTGGCTGGGCCTGTCTTCATTTATTTTGTTTAAATTTTGTTGTTATATTTTTCTACAAAATAATACCATGTGATTGCTATAGAAAACCCCAAGAGTTCAAATAGGTATAAAGAAGAAAGTAGAAATAGCCCACAGTCCAGCTCTCTAGAGACACTACCAAATCTTGGCGGCTCTGCTTTCTGGCCAGTCTTATTACATCACAAACGCAGTTTCATATTGATGGCATCGTGCTACACCTAACGTTTTTCTAACTTACTATTTTTGTTGAACAATTTTTCAAGGAAATAACTTTCATGTCAATAAATATGCATTTATACTAGTTGTATGATAGGCACATATTATTCCATTGTATGGATGTACTGTATCTTATTTCACCAATTTTCTTTTTTTTTTTTTGAGACAGAGTGTTGCTCTGTCACCCAGGCTGGAGTGCGGTGGCGCAATCTTGGCTCACTGCAACCTCTGCCTCCCGGGTTCAAACGATTCTCCTGCCTCAGCCTCCTGAGTAGCTGGGATTACAGGCACATGCCACTATGCCCAGCTAATTTTTGTATTTTTAGTAGAGACAGGGTTTCATCGCATTAGTCCGGATGGTCTCGATCTCCTGACCTCATGATCCACCCACCTTGGCCTCCCAAAGTGCTGGGATTACAGGCATGAGCCACCACACCTGGCCTATTTCACCAGTTTTCTAATAGTAGATAATTAACTTAATTTTTAAGTTGCCTTTTTCTGCTGTTATAAATAGCAGGCAGTGAACATTCTGTTGCTCGTGGGCATTTTCATTTTTTTGCCACTATAAACAGTATTGTTGTGGACATCCTGGACTGAGCTCCTGGCACACAGGGAGAATTTCATACACATTTAGGAGACAATTTGCTAGGTGATGGAAGTTCCAGATGTTCATTTTGCAGGATAGTGCCACAGTAGTTACACCATTTTATGGTCCGGGCAGCAAATATCTTGGAGTAATATTAATTCTTTACCTTTAATTTTCCAGTCATTCCATTCTTTTTTCTTGGCGGCCTCTCTAAGATGTAATCTTTGTCCATTTTCCCTGCCAAACGCATGTCCAGACCCTCTCTGATTCACCCGCGGACTCACACAACCTCCCCATGACGCTGTTCTCTGACAGCCTGGCTCTTGCCAGTTCTTCCCACAGTTGCTTTACCAGATACCCTGCTTCACTCCATCCAGCAGAGCTCAGGGTCCCCTCTCTGATCTACAGAACTGTTCTCAAGGTCCTTGCTCAGGCATGCATATGCACACACGTGCACACGCATACACACGTATGCTGTATTTGTCATATTTAAGTACTTGGTCTCCATTGATTCTAGTTCCTTGAGCTTTTTATCCAACCAGAAGATGTAGTTCCCTCCTAATTCAAACCCATACCGTATGCTCAGGTTTTTGTGACAATTTCCACTAAAAGTAATTAAGAGAAAACATGATGTCATCAAATGGTGGACTCTAGGGTTTTTCTTTTCTGACTAATTGATACTCCAGCCTCACACCTGTATTGATTCTGATAATTAGTGATTCAGTTTCTTTTAACAGAGAGGAGCAATAACCCGTGCCGTGCATTTTGTCGTATGATCATAGGCGCTGAAGTTTAAGAAGGTTTCTCTGCTGGGGTGGAGTGATGGGGGCATAACCGCACTCATTGCTGCTGCAAAATATCCATCTTACATCCACAAGATGGTGATCTGGGGCGCCAACGCCTACGTCACTGACGAAGACAGCATGATATATGAGGGTAGGTTCTGCGAAGGGGAGATGCCGGGACGGCAGATCCTTCCCCTCTCTCCGCATCTCATCTCTTATTGTGGGATATGTTGACAAGACACATCTCTCGTGCTTCTAGTTCTCAACTCTCAGGTAGGAAGAATAACGAGTTCTCAGAAAAGTAATGCAGTTTAACCAGTCTGAGTTTTAAAGCTTTCTGTTTCCAGGAGTGAAACTTCCATGGCTCAGGAAAAGGCTAAGTAAAATCACTATTTCTATTTACTACTACTGATAATGAACTTCAGGGAAGGAGGGGGTGGTGTGAAGTGTTATTAATAATCTCATTTAAAATACTGTGAGGCCAGGCACAGTGGCTCATGCCTGTAATCCCAGCACTTTGGGAGCTCAAGGCAGAAGGATCGCTTGAGCCCAGGAGGTCGAGGCTGCAGTGAGCCATGATTGTGCCACTGCACTTTTGCCTGGGTGACAGGAGTGAGAGAGAGATGGGGGAGGAAAGAAAATAATGTTGAGTGTGGAAAAGAATCACTGGATACAAATATGAAACCTTTTATTTTGATTAAAAGAATTTCTGTGCTATTTGCATGCTTTAACGTTGTCCTTCAAGCCTGTCTTTGAGGTTTTTTTTTTTTTTTTTTGAGTTTGAGTTTCACTCTTGTTGCCTGGGCTGGAGTGCAGTCGTGCGATCTCAGCTCACCACAACCTCTTCCTCCTGGATTCAAGCGATTCTCCTGCCTCACCCTCCCAAGTAGCTGGGATTACAGGCATGTGCCACCATGCCTGGCTAATTTTGTGTTTTTTAGTAAAGACGGGGTTTCTCCATGTTGGTCAGGCTGGTTTCGAATTCCCGACCTCAGGTGATCCACCTGCCTTGGCCTCCCAAAGTGCTGGGATTACCAGCGTGAGCCCCCACGCCCAGCCTGAGGTCTTTACAGGCACTGGAATAGGGGCCAGTGAACTTCAGCCTGTGCATTACACCTAGCCTGCCTCCCACTTTTGTGCAGCCCACGTACCAATCGAGGTGGCTAGTGCTGTGAGTCACAGAGACCAAGCTGGGGTGTCCCTTTACCACCCAGCATTGCTGCCCCAGACCTGCACTGGTGGTCACTACACAGGGGTGACTGTTGGCAATGAGCAGGCACCCAGCCATGGAATTTCAGTCAGCAACTCAGGAGTTGCTTAGCCTCCAGCAAGCTGCCCCATTGAGATGACCAGGCTCTTGGGAGGAAAGAAGGGTGCACCAGGATCTAGGGGTTGCTAGGACAAGAAGTGAAACTGACCTGCGTTACCCTACTACCCCCACCTGCCAGCCTGGCCCACCAGGACCCTCTTCCTCAGGCCACTAGCTTTTTGTCCAAGTGTGAGTCTAGTGGATCCCAGATGGCCTGCCCCAGACACTTAGGACTAGGTGGGTCAGGTGTTTTCTCTCCTCATGTGTAAGTATCTACATAATGTCTTTGATTTTGCTTCTTGGCCAGCAAAACCTAAAATATTTATTTACTCTCTGGCCCTTTACATAAAAGGTGTACAGATCTCTTCGCTAGAATATCACAAGTCTAGTCTTTTTCAGCTATTCGACAATTCACGTGACTTTTAAGTACGCTACTTAGTGGCAGCGTTCTGTTGTAGAATTGTAGTTCTTCACAGTCTTTCTGTTTTTTAAATGAATATGAAGCTCTTACGGTGAGTCTGATGTGGTTGCCAGTCCTGTCTGTGCTCCTGCTTGTCCTTATTTTGCTCCTGCCTGGTATCCATCTTGTGCACAGTAGGCCATTCCGCTCTGTGAAGGGTCTGTCCCCTCCCGCGGCCTCTAGGACAGGCTGCCTTGAGTTCTTCCTCCCTCTCCTGTATCCTTAAATTCTCTCCACTGGGTCAGTCCTCTCAGCCTGCAAAAGTGGGCACAATTCTTCCTCCAGAAAGTTGCCACTCCTACCTGTGGTTACTATCTTCCCATTCTTTATTCTTTCCCACAAACTTATGGAAAGAGCCACCTGCATTCCCTGCTTCTAGGGATCCTCCTTTCCTTCCTTCTTTAGTCCATTCTGCCCCATCTCCCTCTCTGGCCCATTCTAGCCCCCTCTACTGAAACTCTCCTCACTGACCCCTGCCCACTTGTTCTTTCCCATAATCACTATCTCAGTTCATGGCCTGCAGATGACCCGGCATCCAGGCAGAGTCCCAGATGCATCCCTCGAGGGCCCAGTCCTCCTCTGCCCTCTTCATTTGCCCACCTTGCCCTGTTCATTGAACTGTGATGCTTTCTGTTGTTACATAATACCCCTCCAGTTATCCTCACCTCTCTTCTTTCCCCACATTCTCCTGGTTTAGGCCGCTAGCTTCATATGGTAGTTTGTTCTCCATAGGAGAGTTTCCTTTGTAAGGCAAAAATCTAATCACTTAATTCCACTAGAGGACTTAAAATCCTTCACTAACCAGCAAAGTCCGTGCAGTTTGGCTGGCCCCTCCTGCCAGCCCCTCCCCGGACATTCTCCCATCTCCCCTTTCTCCTCATCCTTCCGGTGCCTCTCCCACGTGGGATAAATGGCCATTCCTGGAACAAGCTTCCCCCTCATGCCTCTTCGCCTTTGCAACTGCTGCTGTGCCAGCTTGCACCAGCCTTCCCCTCAGCCACATCCTCTGCCAGGGCATATTCACCCCTGACACAGCTCCTTGGGCCTCCGCGTCTGGGATGGCGTCCCGGAGCCCTGAGACCTGGCGGTGCTCTCCCTCCTGGACCCCGCCACACCTTGCACGTGCCTGTGTCACGGCCCTTCAACCCCGGGCACTGTCAGCACTTACTCCCTTGCCTCGGTCACCGCAGTGGGAACTCACTGTGTGCAGTTGCTCTGACTTTCCTTTCTTGATGAAAGCAAGAGTCTCTCAGTAGCGCAGCACTCTTTACTCTCTGACGTCTCGCTACTTCCCCTCCTGGCTACTCTTTCTTTTTCATCCCCCATCCTCTCCTAACTTGTGTCAAGATGGCTGTGGCCCGCCAGTGTGCTAGAGACCAAGCCCCCACCACGCACCTCCTCTTGGCTCCTTGGTCATTCTGCAGCGTTTGAGAACATGCTCATGATGTGTGCGCCATTGGTTACACCCCTCTTCTTGAAGCTTTCTCTGTCTGGAAGTTCTTGCCACCGTGTTCTCCCGACTTCCCTCCTCTCTCAGGCTGTTCCCTGGCTGACACGTGCCTGCTCCCCCATGTGGGCCACAGTGTTGGGGTCCTCCAGGCGTCACCCTCAGTGCTCTGCTCCCCTCTTACCCTCACACCTCACACCTGAGTAGCTTCACTCAGCTCCTTGCTCCACCTAACTCCCAAACCCCACATGTTCGACTGTTGTTTTTTTTTAAGAGACAAATTCTCACTGGGTGTGGTGGCTCACACCTGTAATCCCAGCACTTTGGGAGGCTGAGGCAGGAGGATCACTTGAGCCCAGGAGTTCAAGACCAGCCTGGGCAACGTAGCAAGACCCCGTGTCTACAAAAAAATACAAAACGTAGTCAGGTGTGGTGGCATGTGCCTGTAGTCCCAGCCATTTGGGAGGCTGAGGTGGAGGATCACCTGAGCCGGGGAGGTTGAGGCTGCCGTGATCTGTGATTACACCACTGCACTGTAGCTTGGGTGACAGAGGCGAGACCCTGTCCCAACAACAGCAACAACAACAACCAAAAGAAAAAAACAGAAAGAAAAGAAAAAGACGAGTTCTCACTATGTTGCCTTATTCAACTTTTTATTCAATTTTCTTATCTGGTTGTCTCACACCTACTTTAAATTCAGTCTGTCTAATACTGAATTCATGATCTTCTCTCTAGGCCTGTCCCTTCTGCTAAATTTCTTGTCATTATAAATAATACTCTTTCTCCCTGAAAATAATATTTTAATTACTATTTATTGAGTGCCTGCCGTGAGCTAAAGTCTTTAACAACGTGATATCCATGTAAGGTCTCTGATTCTCAGCCTGCTTGTCAAGTGAAAAACGGGGGCTCACAAAAGTGAGGAAACCTTCCAGACCACATCCCCCACACTGCGGCCTGCAGCTCACTGCACTCTTCTCTTCTGCTGGGCTCTGAGTGGCCCCATCTTGCCCTACCCCTCTCTCCCTCCCACCAGGCTCCCGCCAGCCTCGTTGGTCCCGTCTGGGCTGATTCTGTGCCTCTCCAACCGGTCCAGGTCCTTGCCTCCTACCAGTCTGCCTTCCATGATGCTCTGATAGCAATTCAGCAATATGTGAATCTCATGGTGTCTTACTTTAAGCCTTCCAGGACTCCCCACAACTTTCCTGATAAAGTTCAGGCTCCTTCACTTTGCTCACGGAATGAGTGGCCCGGCCTCTGCCTCTCCAGGTCCCCTCCCCCCACTTTCCCCTCCCAACCACCAGTGTCCAGCCATCCGAGACCACCTGGGTCCCTGCAGCAGGTGGCGGGCTCCTGCCTCCTTGTGTGGGCCCTTCCCGCTCCCTTCCCACTCCTTCACTTGTTTGCTGACTTCTCTTCTCCCAGAATGGCCCAAGCATTCCATCTTCTAGGAAGCCCTCACCGCCGCCACCCCGTGTCCACTGCCCGTGTGAGCACACAGGCCACTCTGCTACAGATGGACGGCTGGTTCTTGTACCCGTCTCCTGGGGTGTAGGAGCAACAGTATCTCTCTAGGGTCTAAGTCCATGAGTGAAATTGCTGAGTGTTGTGGGCAGGTAGACTACATTACAAGTGACAGATTATTTTCCAGCAAAATAAATTTACACTTCCACCAGCAATAGATGAGATTCTTAACTTTTAGCTCTTCAACAAAAACTTGAAATTCTCAGACTTCTTAATTCACTAGCCAATCAAATGGGTGTAAGATATTATCTTATTGGGGTCTTAATTTGCATTTCGTATTACTAATAAGATTGAAAATCTGTGTTTATCCACCATTTGAGTTTCTTCTGTATTATATCCATGTATTTTTATTGGTGAAAAGTTTTTTGTTATGTAATAATTGATACACACAATACAGTATGTTTGGGTATACAGTATGAAATGTAACAACAAAACGACCCCGCCGCTGTCCACCCAACTCAGCACCAGAACAGTTTCAATGTTATCCCAGTGTTACTCTAATCCTAGTCAGTAACCCCTTTTAGGGTAACTGTGTTGCAAGCACCTCTTCACAGTGGGTGGCTTTTGCCTTTTTCTTTATGGGCAGAACTACTTAATGTAAGGAAATGCCACAGTGTTTTGTTTTTCTTTCCTTTTTCTTTTTCTTTTCTTTCCTTTTTTTTTTTTTTTTTTGAGACAGGGTCTCCACTATTGCCCAGGCTGGAGTGCAGTGGCACCATCTCAGCTCACTGCAGCCTGCTTGCTCAACATCAAACTATCCTTCTGCCTCAGCCTCCCAAGTAGCTGGCACTACAGGCGTGTGCCACCGCACCTGGCTAATTTTTTTTTTTTTTTTTTTTGAGACGGAGTCTCGCTCTGTCACCCAGGCTGCGCAGTGGCGTGATCTCGGCTCACTGCAAACTCCGCCTCCTGTGTTCACGCCATTCTCCTGCCTCAACCTCCCGAGTAGCTGGGAATACAGGCGCCTGCCACCACGCCCGGCTATTTTTTTGTATTTTTAGTAGAGACGGGGTTTCACCGTGTTATCCAGGATGGTCTCGATCTCCTGACCTCGTGATCCGCCTGCCTCGGCCTCCCAAAGTGCTGGGATTACAGGCATGAACCACCGCGCCTGGCCAATTTTTGTATTTTTTGTAGAGACGGGGTTCCGCCACATTGCCCAGGCTGGTCTTGAACTCCTGGACTTAAGTAATCCACCCACCTCAACCTTCCGAAGTGCTGGGATTACAGGTGTGAGCCACCATGCCGCCCGGCCTCACAATGTTTTATTTTCTCATTGGTTTGGCTGGTTTTGTTTGATTTTAGATCCACCAACATGTTTGCCCATTTGTTTACTCACCTGTTCTTTCTTCTCAAATGTTCCTTCTAAAAGCATTTATCTTCTCTTCTTCCTGAAGTTATTTTTAGAAGTTATTTAAGGGCAGCCTGTTAATGGTCAACTCAGTTTTTACCAACAAGTGTCTTTTCTTTCATCCACCTTTTCTGTAAGTCTGTTTAGCTGAGTGTGGAAATGGAAGTGGAAAATCATTGTCTCCCCCATTCTGCAGTCTTCTGCCTTCCATCCTTGCTGTTGAGAAGTTTCCTGTCCGTCTACGTGGTTCCTGCTTCGGAGTGATGTGTCTTAACTCTCTGGCTGTTTTTCAGATTTTCTCCTTACCTTTGATATATTGCTGTTTTAATATATTCTGTCCAAATGCAGATTTCATTTTACTTGTCCTGTTTGGAATACATTGCGTTTTTGTTTATGGATTCTTTGATTCATTCTGAAAAACTCTCCCACCCATTATTTCTTCAAATAGGCATCTCGTTCATTCTTATTCTCTTCTTCTGAGACGAGCGGACTTTTGTAAACCTCGTCTTTCCATCTTCCTTATCTCTTCTGCATCGTCGTGTCTCTCTGCGTGGTGTTCTGCATAATTTCTTAAGATTTGTCTTCCAATTTTCTAGTTTTTTTATTAACTTTATAAAAATCCTGTTTGTTTTGTGACCTTTGGTTAGGAGCTAATATTTACTCACTCTTAATCTGAAAATAAACAAAGCAGTGAGCATAAATCGAGAGCGCTTTCCTTCCGGGAAGATTTGCATTTGTTGCTCTTGGGAACCACAGGATCATACCAGGTTGGGGCCATTTTTAGCTCAGCTTGATCCAGGAGTCTCAGGTTGGGCCCCGGCCTGCCTGCGAACACTGCGTCTCCACCCAGAGCAGGCCTGCCTTTGGAGCTGGCTTACTTCCTTTGCTGTATTTTCAGGGTTCTGTTTCTCATGTGCAGACACACTCATACACACTCACACCCCGGTTTCCATTAACCACTGCAACTTCAGCAATGCCACAGAATTCTGTTTTGTGAAAGATCTAGTTATTCCCCTGCAAGAAGGCCTTTCAGAGGGTATGGTCTGCCATACGGCCAAAAGTAGAAGCATGTGCAGGGACGTTTTGCTAGCCATCTTCACACTGTCTTGCTTGCTTCTCTCTCCCTTACCCTCCGCCCCCAAATGTTTTCTTCTTCCTACATCTTCTCCCCACCTCTTCAGGCTGTCTCCACGTACCTCATTCAAGTCTTTTCATTCTTGTGCAGAGCAGTTCATCCTCTTCAGCCTTTATCTTCAGCTCACACGGGGCCTACCTCTGAATATTTAAGCCAGTCAGCAGAAGCAAAGGCAGGCACCAGGCACTGTCCTGTAATGGGGGATCCGCCCTCCTCAGAAGGCAGTTGTGATTGTAAATAGCAGTTTTTCCTCCATTTGGTGATTTGAATTCACTAAGCACACAGTGAGTGCCTGCCAGGTGCCTGACGTTGTCCGGGACTCTGTAGAGATTGTTGCTCATGTGAGTTCATGCCATTAGTGTTATATTTCTTCCATGTGTAACGTGTAGCTCTCAGGAAGCAATATTTAATATGCTCAAGAGCATTAGAATCTTTACTTATCACAGTGTATTTAAAGAAATATAGAAAACATTGGCCTAAGGAATTGCATTTGTTGATTCATGTTAATGGTTGTTTTTAGCTATTCTTCCCTACTAGTGAATCATCTATAATACAGTTTGAAGTTTGGTACTTAGCCTTTTACACCCATATTTCTTCGGTAGCAGAAATTAGAATGAATAATTTGTGTGCATTTTTCAATGTCCATACAAATGCAATGCAGAAAAAAACTCCTCTTTTGCAAACATTGTCGCTCTTCCTCAGGTGACCCTGTTAGGGTCATATTTTCTTTTATCTTGTATCTTTAAAGGAAAGCGGTAAGTGCAGCTCTAATTTCATCCACTTGGTAAGCATTGATTTGTGGGCCTGTATTGTGGGAGGCACTAGTGTAGGCCCTGGGGTACAGTGGGGAGCAAAGCAAAGTCCCTTACACTGCACACAGGTCCTAGTGGGAGGCAGGCACTCAGCCCTGGGTCCAGAAGGCACCGCAAAGCAGCAACCAGGGCTAAGCCGAGCAGAGGGAGGGAGGGAGGCATTCCAGGCAGACGAGACAGTGAGCGCATGGGCTCAGAAGTGGCTCTTGCTCAGAATACTTAAAGACAATACTTTAGTATGAAATTAAACCTTTCTTCGCCTACACTTCTGTTTTTCAGGCATCCGAGATGTTTCCAAATGGAGTGAGAGAACAAGAAAGCCTCTAGAAGCCCTCTATGGGTATGACTACTTTGCCAGAACCTGTGAAAAGTGGGTGGATGGCATAAGACAGTTTAAACATCTCCCAGATGGTAGGTTACTGGGCTTGAAGGGCTCTCTGCCTGTTATAGAGGGTGCTCGAGTTCCTCCCCAGTGTTCTGGAATTGCTCAGTGATTCATGAATCTGCCCATCGCCCTCACACGCTCATGTGTGAGCAGAACAGAGAATACTAGTTCTTGTGTACTGTGCCAGTTCTTGGGCAGTCAATCTGGCTTAACGGAGAGGTAGGACTGCGTGTCCAAAGGTTCACATTGTTGAGTCTTTAATAGCAGACTGCTCTTTTTTCCTTCTAATCCTTGGTGTGTGTGCGATGACAAAATAATTATCCAGAAGCCTTAAACCGTTTCTATTTTCTAATTCCAGAATGAGTAATTCGAAAATAAATAGGCCACAATGTGTACAATATTTTTTCCTTTTTACACATTTAGATGTGTCTCCCCACGAGGACACTGTTAATCTTTAATCTCAACGGAATTAATATGAGGAAGAAAATATTCTGTTTTTTCCATCTTCAGAACTAAGTGATATGACTGTAACCATGAACAATGCACAAATGTCTCCTATTCTTTTTTTTTTAGATGGAGTCTCACTCTGTCACCAGGCTGGAATGCAATGGCATGATCTCAGCTCACTGCAATCTCTGTCTCCTGGGTTCAAGCGATTGCTCTGCCTCAGCCTCCCAAGTAGCTGGGACCACAGGCGTGCACCACCACACAGGCACATTTTTTTTGTATTTTAGTAGAGACAGGGTTTCACCATGTTGGCCAGGATGGCCTTGATCTCCTGACCTCGTGATCCGCCCACCTTGGCCCTCCCAATTGCTGGGATTACAGGCCTGAGACACCATGCCCAGCCTCCTATTCTTTATCTGAAAAATTAACAAGATTTCCAGTTAAAGTAAGAATTGACATCTTTAAGAGAAATTCTGAATTATAGTTTATTTTCATACAGCTGTTTATGTTTATAATCTCATTTTTTTTTAATTACTGAGAAAATAGAGTAGCTAAGATCTAATCTTGGAGTGCATTGTTACAAAATGGTTGTGATTGAAGGACCAATTTGATCCATTAGGTAATCATTTCCTGCATGAATCATCTGCCAAAACTTTCACAATGAAAAGGACATTTGGAAATGTTACTCTTCTGGTTTGAGTTGAAAACAGCAAATATATCAAATGTATGCCTTATAATGTTTCTGTTCAGATGCAGCATCCACCCATGGAGACAGGCCCTGGAAATCTCTGCTCTTAAAACAAAAAAATGCCATGAAACGATGTTTGAGACAGTTCTCCATTAAAGAGGGCACATTTGTAAAATGTAAACTTGGATGTTTTGTTGAAGAGAGTAGTGAAAAGACAGGAAGATTTAAAGGTGGAAATAGGGTTAAATCAGCAATTCAAAAATACGTTCATGATACAGAGGCTGTAGCAGTGTATAAACTGTCTCACAGCGAGGGCCTTCGTGATGCGTCCCCCTTCTGTGCTGACTCATTTGGTAGGAGCCCTCTTTTCCGACTGTCCTCTCAGGTTTATGGATGCTTGGTATAGTGTAGGGATTCATTGCATTGCACGGCTCTGGAGTGCGATGGCCCTGAGTGTGAGTTCTGCCTGTGTCCCCGGCTTGCTGTTAGAATGGATCTGGGCAGGTAACTTAGCTTCTTGAAGCTTCGGTTTCCTATCTGTGACCTCGAAAAGCTGTTGTTGTGGGGATTAAATGAGGTATTATCTATTCAGCTTTGGTGCAGGATCAAAGACAGAGTAAGTGTCTAGTGAAAGGTTGGTATTACTGTTATTACAGAAGTCCTTAATGAACAAACATTTTTATATGCTGAATGAGTTAAAACATGTAACTACTGTGTTTAACAGATGTGAAATTGTTTAAACAGTTGCTGGCACCAAGTGAGCACTCAGGCATGTTGACTTTGATCATCACGTGATGATGCAGCTGGCCGGTGTGTGTCATCTCGGGACAGGAGAGGGAAGTGTCAGAGACCTGGAGAAGTATTTCCCTAGTCAGCAGGTCCGCTTCTCACTTAGCAGGCAGTGACTTCCCACTGAAGAGGAGGGAAAGGCCTGGGGCCCGTGCAGGGCGGGGGAGCACTGCCCCGTCGGGGCAGCTCCCAGCCTTCTCAGAGCTGCAGTGCCTTCCTCTTGACACACACGGAGAGGGAATGGAGAAGGAAAGAGCTAGCTTAGGGATGCCAGGAACCGCAGACGCAACTCTCTTTTTAGCCCCACAACAGCCCCGGGGAACTGTGATTGTTCCTGTTTGTGGCTGAAGCTCCCAGTGGTTAAGGAGCCACCACAGCCTCACAGAGGCAGGAAACTGCAGTACAGGGACTAGGGCCCAGGCTGTCCATCATTGCCTCAGGAAAGTTCTCATAAATGGGGGTAAGTCCTTACAGTCTCTCCAAAGTATGTTAGTCAGGAGTGTCACAGATGCATCAGCGATAAGGAGAAGCTGCTTTACCGTGCGCAAGTTGTATAATTAATTCCTTGTGAGGTTCATATGCTTTGAGGGCTGGCCGGGGCCCCTACACTCATCTGAAACGTGATTTCCAGGGAAAAGCTCTACAGGTGTCAAGCACCTACCACTGTTTTCACGGTGGGAACCGCCACTGTGGAATATAGTGGTGGGGTGTTTATTTGATTTTCCTACTATTTTATGCGAATTTAAATCAGGCTGCTTATTTACTAGTAGAACTCAGAAACAGGCAAACAAACAAGAAACAGAGAGAAACAGAAAAGGGAACCCAAAGAATGTTAGAGCTGGAAGGAATCCCAGGCACGGTCAAATCCAAAACACAGTTTTTACGGATAGGGAAACTGAGGGCCAAGGAGGGGCAGGGCTCGCCGAGTTTCGCCTCCTCTGACCGCGTAGAATGGTTGCACTAAAGCAGATTCCTCGTGCTGTGTATCCGTCAGGTAACATCTGCCGGCACCTGCTGCCCCGGGTCCAGTGCCCCGCCTTGATTGTGCACGGTGAGAAGGATCCTCTGGTCCCACGGTTTCATGCCGACTTCATTCATAAGCACGTGAAAGGCTCACGGTAAGTCCTGTCACCGCCTTCACACTCCCCCCGAGAGCCTCGGAGTCAATGGGCAAAGCTACTGGAAGGAAAATAACCAAGAGGAGTTGGAGTTTTAGAGTGCACAGCCCCCCTTTTGCCAATGCCAGTCAGTAGCACCGCTTTATTTAGGGTACCACGGAAGAGAGAAGCCCTGAACTGTGGGTGACTGATAACCAGAAGGAAAGGCATGTTCAGATAGACAGCTCTTACTTTCATGAGTGGCAAACATGCTCATAGGTGCTAAGCCCTGTCACTTGGTAATAGTTTAGATTTATTTCCATCAGTATTAACCGAAACAGTTTCACACAATTTGGGAATTTTCAGTTTAGTTTTTTATCATTATAAAAGCACTGACCACCCAATTTAAAAAAATCTGTTAAACCAAATTTCTGATGTCTGCTGACAGCCAGCCCTACTCAGCACAGTTAATGGTAGTGTTCCCTGTCCCTAAAGCCCCCAGGCCAGCAGGGAAAGCAGGCACAGAAACAGCTCCACTGCTCCCTTCTCGCTCTGTTCTATGATGTATTTAACAACAGATTTCTCAGAGAATTTTTAAAGGAGGAAAAAAAGTTTCTTTTCTATAATAAAATACAATTACCATAAACCTTTATAATTACTATATCCATAATGGATAGTGCTATATCCATTTAGCATTTTTTAAGTTAACAGGCATCTCTTTATTCCACACATTCCTCCTATACCACTTCAACCATGAATCAAAAATACACATGAGCCTGTATAACAAATAATTCATTTGGTAAGAGCATAGAGTCAGTGAAGAGCAAAGGTGGGAGTTAGGCAGGATTATACTGCGGGTGGACAAAGAGGTTTAATGAGGGAGTTGGTTTTTTTTTGGAGTCGGAGTCTCGCACTGTCACCTGGGCTGGAGTGCAGTGGCACGATCTCGGCTAACTGCAACCTCCGCCTCCCAGGTTCAAGCGATTCTCCCACCTCAGTCTCCCAAATAGGTGGGATTACAGGTGTGCGCCACCACGCCCAGCTAATTTTTTGTATTTTCAGTAGAGACGGGTTTCACAATGTTAGCCAGGCTAGTCTCAAACTCCTGACCTCGTGATCCGCCTGCCTTGGCCTCCCAAAGTGCTGGGATTACAGGCATGAGCCACCACTCCCAGCTTGGAGTTTTTAAATTGATTTAGTAGGGGCTGGGCACAGTGGCTCACACCTGTAATTGCAGCACTTTGGGAGGCTGAGGCAGGCGGTTCACTTGAGGCCAGGAGTTCAAGACCAGCCTAGCCAACATGGCGAAACCCCATCTGTACTAAAAATACAAAAATTAGCCGGGCATGGTGGCGGGTGCCTGTAACCCCAGCTACTCAGGAAGCTGAGTCAGGAGAATCGCTTGAACCTGGGAGGCGGAGGTTGCAGTGAGCCAAGATTATGCCACTACACTCCAGCTGGGTGACAGAGTGAGACTCCGTCTCAGAAATAAATAAATAAGTATAAATTTATTTAGTAGCGAATAAAAGGTATTTTCAAACTAGACTTTATAAAATTATAATACTAAGTTATGGTCATGGTACAAAATTCCAGTAGTATACTTTCTTATTAATCCTTGCAAAAGTTTTTTTTGTTTGTTTTTTTTTTGAGGCACAGTTTCACTCTTGTTGCCCAAGCTGAAGTGCAATGGCGCGATCTCGGCTCACTGCAACCTCTGCCTCCTGGGTTCAAGTGATTCTCCTGCCTCAGCCTCCTGAGTAGCTGGGATTACAGGCACCCGCCACCACGCCCAGCTAATTTTTGCATTTTTAGTAGAGACGGGGTTTCACTGTGTTAGCCAGGATGGTCTCGATCTCTTGACCTTGTGATCCACCCACCTTGGCCTCCCAAAGTGCTGGGATTACAGGCATGAACCACCATGCCCGGCCTGCAAAAGTTTTTTATACAATCTCAGTTTTTGTGCTTTTGATTGTATACGTTTGCAGTGTACAAAGTGATATCTCCATATAGCACTTAATATTTTAAAAGGTATTTTATATATAGTATCTAGTTATAGTTTATGACATATTTATGAAAAATATTATCCATTTTACAGATGAGAAATCATGGCTGAGAGATGTTAAGCAATCTTTCAAGGTTGTATAGCTAGTAAATAATTAATCTTAGATTTTTCTCCTAATATGGTGCTTTTCCACCATAGCACAGCTGCCACTTATCTCTTAATATGTATGATGGTAACATGCCTAGAATAAGATACCAGGTGACCTGGTTAATTGTCTTCCAGCTTCAGAAATGACAGGTTTTGCACAGTGACACACATAGTAAATGTGTTATGTGCCCTTAAAGAGCCAGGTTCAATTAAAGTCAGTCTACAAGAAAGTTTAATTTAGGAATTAAAGTTTAATTTAGGCCCATCTCCTAGCAACACAGTACATCAGTATAGGAGAAAAACACCCTTACAGGCTCACACCTGTAATCCCAGCACTTTGGGAGGCCGAGGTGGGCAGATCACTTGAGGTCAGGAGTTCAAGACCAGCCTGGCCATCATGGTGAAACCTCGTCTCTACTAGAAATACAAAAATTAGCCAGACATGGTCGTGGGCACCCGTAATCCCAGCTACTCAAGATGCTGAGGCAGAGAATCACTTGAACCTGGGAGGCAGAGGTTGCAGCGAGCCAAGATCACGCCACTGCACTCCAGCCCGGGCAACAAGAGCCGAAACCCTCTCTGAAAAACAAACAAACAAACAAAAAAACACTTAAAGGCACAGACTATCCCTTCCCAGATTTTTACCAAGAAATACAGATTATGTGTGAAGCAAACACCAAACTGCCTTTCTTGCCTCAGAAGGAGGCTGAACAAAGGGTGGAGTTGCTCAGCAGGTCTGCTTCCAGCTTATGTTAATTTGTCTCTTTCTCTCTTCTCTCTTTGTGGTAGAAGAAAAATAAGAATCGCTTATTTTTATTTTAAGCAAAGAGGCCTTAGAGATCATTCAAGCTCAGTGATTTTAAAATGTGTTTTTAGTCGGTTGAAGCCCTTCCTCTAACAAGCACTTGTGCTGCAGTCTGAGATACGAAACACACTATGAGAGCTGCTCAGACGACAGCAGTGATGGGGAGCAGGCTTTGCCTTTCTGCCTCCCGTGTCCACATTTCCTCCTATAAGTACAGCGGTCGTAATAGATTAGGACCTACTCATATGACTTCATTTCAAATCAATTACCTCTTTAAACACTCTACCCAAAGGAGGTCACACTCTGAGATGCTGGGGGTCAGGATCTAAGCATATCAATATGAGGGGTGCAATTCAGCCCATCACAGTGCTTCTGAGGAGGTGCTCCGATCTCAGGAGCCAGAGGCCCGGTTCTGGGTTTCAGACTCGACTGCAAACGATGAGTCCCTCGCCTCTCGCCTGCGGCCCTTCTCCACCCCTCAGCTCCTGCCTTTGCCTGCCTGGGTGTGTGCCCACCCCTTAGGCCAGGACTCAGGCGGCTCCTCAGCGAGGCTTCCTCGCCTCTGCATGCGCCTCCAGTTGCTCGCTCACCTATCTGAGGTCATGTGGCTCCTTATACCTTTTTTCTTCCTCTTTTTTTGTTTTTGAGACAGAGTCTCGCTGTTGCCCAGGCTGGAGTGCAGTGGCGCGATCTTGGCTCACTGCAGGCTCTGCCTCCTGGGTTCCTGCCATTCTCCTGCCTCAGCCTCCCGAGTAGCTGGGACTACAGGCGCCCACCACCACGCCCGGCTAATTTTTTGTATTTTTAGTGGAGACGGGGTTTCACGGCGTTAGCCAGGATGGTCTCAATCTCCTGACCTCGTGATGCACCCGCCTCGGCCTCCCAAAGTGCTGGGATTACAGGCATAAGCCACTGCACTTGGCCTTCTTCTTTTTTTTTTTTTTTTTTGTTTTTTTTTTTAAGAGACAGGGCTTGCACTGTCATCCAGGCTGGAGTGCAGTGGTGTGATCACGGCTCATTGCAGCCTTGAACTCCTGGACTCAAGTGATCCTCCCACCTCAGCCTCCCAAGTAGCTCAGACATAGGCACGTACCACCACTCCTAGCTAATTTTTTGTGTATGTATTTTGTGTAGAGAAAGGGCCTTGCCGTGTTGTCCAGGCTGGTCTTGAACTCCTGGGCTCAAGCAATCCTCCTGCCTTGGCCTCCCAAAGTGCCGGGATTACAGGTGTGAGCCACTGCACCCAGCCTCTTTATTCATATCTCTAACAGCTGCTAACGTGAATGCAATTCTTCCCATGTTGAACACTCCACCGCCTATCCCAGGATGTGGTCTAGAGCATCTGAACATGCTCAGTGCATGTTGAAAGAGAGAGAGGGAGAGCAAGAGGTGCACAGAGGGCCATGTCTCTGTGGATGGGCTGGGGTCACCAGTGCAGGACCAGCCGCGTATTCTGAGCCCAGGCCTGAGGGCCAGACCCGGTGGGAAAGTCCATGTGGCACAGAGTTGGCATCTTAAGTTCGTGTCAACTAAAGGGGAGGGAGAGGGGTTAAGAGCACCAGCAGGGGACTCAGACCTCGGTTGGAGTGCTGGTTTGGGTTTGAATGCTGGTGTGGGTTGGAGTGCTGGTGTGGGTTGCAGTGCTGGTTTGGGTTGGAGTGCTGGTTTGGGTTTGAGTTCTGGTGTGGGTCGGAGTGCTGGTTTGGGTCGAGTGCTGGTTCAGGGTGGAGTGCTGGTTCGGGGTGGAGTGCTGGTTCGGGGTGGAGTGCTGGTTCGGGTCCGAGTGCTGGTTCGGGTGGAGTGCTGGTTCGGGGTGGAGTGCTGGTGTGGGTTGGAGTGCTGGTTCGGGTCCGAGTGCTGGTTCGGGGTGGAGTGCTGGTTCGGGGTGGAGTGCTGGTTCGGGGTGGAGTGCTGGTGTGGGTTGGAGTGCTGGTTCGGGGTGGAGTGCTGGTTCGGGTCCGAGTGCTGGTTCGGGTGGAGTGCTGGTTCAGGGTGGAGCGCTGGTTCGGGGTGGAGTGCTGGTTTGGGTTTGAATGCTGATTCGGGGTGGAGTGCTGGTTCGGGGTGGAGTGCTGGTTCAGGGTGGAGTGCTGGTTCCGGTTGGAGTGCTGGTGTGGGTTGGAGTGCTGGTGTGGGTCGGAGTGCTGGTTTGGGTCGGAGTGCTGGTTTGGGTCGAGTGCTGGTTCGGGTTGGAGTGCTGGTTCGGGGTGGAGTGCTGGTTTGGGTCGGAGTGCTGGTTTGGGTCGAGTGCTGGTTCAGGTTGGAGTGCTGGTTCCAGCTGGAGTGCTGGTTTGGGTCGAGTGCTGGTTTGGGTCGAGTGCTGGTTCAGGTTGGAGTGCTGGTTCCGGCTAGAGTGCTGGTTTGGGTCGAGTGCTGGTTTGGGTCGAGTGCTGGTTCAGGTTGGAGTGCTGGTTCCGGCTGGAGTGCTGGTTTGGGTCGGAGTGCTGGTTTGGGTCGAGTGCTGGTTTGGGTTGGAGTGCTGGTTCGGGTTGGAGTGCTGGTTCCAGCTGGAGTGCTGGTTTGGGTCGGAGTGCTGGTTTGGGTCGAGTGCTGGTTCGGGGTGGAGTGCTGGTTCGGGTCCGAGTGCTGGTTCGGGTGGAGTGCTGGTTCGGGTTGGAGTGCTGGTTCGGGGTGGAGTGCTGATGTGGGTTGGAGTGCTGGTTCCGGTTGGAGTGCTGGTTCGGGTCGGAGTGCTGGTTCGGGTTGGAGTGCTGGTTCGGGGTGGAGTGCTGGTTCGGGGTGGAGTGCTGGTTCGGGGTGGAGTGCTGGTGTGGGTTGGAGTGCTGGTTCTGGTTGGAGTGCTGATTCGGGTCGGAGTGCTGGTTCGGGTCGGAGTGCTGGTTCGGGTCGAGTGCTGGTTCGGGTTGGAGTGCTGGTTCGGGTCAGAGTGCTGGTTCGGGGTGGAGTGCTGGTGTGGGTTGGAGTGCTGGTTCCAGTTGAGTGCTGATTTGGGTCGGAGTGCTGGTTTGGGTTGAGTGCTGGTTTGGGTCGGAGTGCTGGTTTGGGTCGGAGTGCTGGTTCGGGTTGGAGTGCTGGTTCCAGCTGGAGTGCTGGTTTGGGGTGGAGTGCTGGTGTGGGTCGGAGTGCTGGTTTGGGTCGAGTGCTGGTTTGGGTCGGGAGTGCTGGTTCGGGGTGGAGTACTGGTTTGGGTTCGGGGTGGAGTGCTGGTTCAGGGTGGAGTGCTGGTTCGGGTCGGAGTGCTGGTTCGGGGTGGAGTGCTGGTGTGGTTTGGAGTGCTGGTTCCAGTTGAGTGCTGATTTGGGTCGGAGTGCTGGTTTGGGTTGAGTGCTGGTTTGGGTCGGAGTGCTGGTTTGGGTCAGAGTGCTGGTTTGGGTCGAGTGCTGGTTTGGGTCGGAGTGCTGGTTCGGGTTGGAGTGCTGGTTCCGGCTGGAGTGCTGGTTTGGGTCGGAGTGCTGGTTTGGGTCGGAGTGCTGGTTTGGGCGAGTGCTGGTTCGGGTTGGAGTGCTCCTTTGGTCACCATGTGCTGGATGTAATATTTCTGTACTACTGTTACCTCTTGTGTGAAATGAGCATGACAATACCTATCATCTCAAGATAGTTTTTGAGGAATGAATGAGGAGGTATTTGTACATTTGGACTTAAATTTAAGACTTAACACACCCAGCCTGGGCAACATGCTGAAACCTCGTCTCTACAAAAAGCAAGAAATTAGCCAGGTATGGTGGTATGCACCTGTAGTCCAAGCTACTCAGGAGGCTGAGGTAGGAGAATCACCAGAGCCTAGGAGGTGGAGGCTGCAGTGAGCCATGATCATGCCACAGCGCTCCAGCCTGGGTGTAGGAATGAGACCCCACCTGAAAAATAAATAAATAAATAAAAAATACTCAACAGACAGTAGCTGCCACTTTTGAGGATGGAATGCTGGCATGGATACAGGTGAATAGGGCCCCCAGAGGACATTGGGGCATAGCTTGAAATTAGGTCAGGCAAGTTGCCATCTGTTCCAACTTTCAGCACCATTATTATTTGTGTTATTTTTAAATTTTTTAAGAGAAGGTCTCGCTCTGTTGCCCAGGCTGGAGTGCAGTGGCCCGATCATAGCTCCTGGCAGCCTCAACCTCCTTACTTCAAAGGATGCTCCCGCCTCAGCCTCCTGAATAGCTAAGACAACACCATTATTAGTGTAGGTATATGGGCATATTTGGGTTCTCCAAAAAAAAAGAACCAACAAGACGTATATGTGTGTATGTATATATAGGTAGAAAAAAGAGATTCATTTTAGGGAATTGGTTCATGGAGTATGGAAGCTGACAAGTCCCAAGGTCTGCAGAGTGAGTTGGCCAGCTGGAGACCCAGGAGAGCTAAAGGTGTGATTCCAGTCTAAGTCTGAAGGCCTGACAGCCAGGAGAGGAGATGGTGTGGTTCTAGTGTGAAAGCCAGGAGGCTTGAGACCCAGGAAGAGCCAATGTTTCAGCCTGAGTCCAAAGGTAGGAAAAAGCCAATATCGCAGACTGAAGGCCAAGGAATTCCCTGTTCTCAGCCTTCTTGTTCTACTCAGGCTTTTAGCAGATTGGACAAGACCCACCACACTGGGGAGGGCCTCTGCCTTTATTCAGTCAGTGGATTCAAATGCTAACCCATCCAGAAACACCCTCATGAACACACTCAGAAATAATGTTTGACCAAATATCTGGGCACCCTGTAGCCCAGTCAAGTTGACACAAAGTGTACAGTCACAGGGTGAAGGGCTGATGGATGCCATCTCTACAGAGGTCTGGGCCTTGTGTTGGGTTCACCAGAGGGTGTGCTGGCAGGCTGGCAGCGAGGGATCAGGCCTGGGATGTCTGTGCAGTGGGCTAGTTACTCTCCTCTGTCTGGACCACAGAAGGGAAGGAAGGGCCTCTTTCTGCAGCTTCCTTGGCTGTTTGGGTCTGGCCACCAGTGGTAAGATGGCCCTAGTCCTCCCAGGCAGGCCAGTGGGAGCCTTACCACTAGGTGGAGTGAAATGAATTGGCTTAGGTGGAAAAGATTCACACCAGTGATAATGGTTCATTTTCAGCTCCATAGAAAAGTGAAGCCAGGTTCTGGTGGGGAGGTAGACGCTGCAGGCAGCCAGGGCTGCAGCTTCCGTTCTGGACTGCCTCCAGCCTGGACGCAGTGGTTTGCCAGCTCCTCTGCTACTGCCCCAGGTGACAGTTCCCCACCACTGGCATCCCAGCCCTCCTCTTCCCAGGTGCTGCTTTCAGCTCCTCCCAGCTGCTGCTCAGGTGGAAGGGAAAACCATCAGCTCCACACGCTGCTTGTGGGCTCGTTACAGGATTTACTGCACACAGAATTAGCCAGTGCTTATCAAGTTGAGTCTTTTGTATTAATATTTCAAAAACAGTGTGGTCTGAACCTTTCCAGACAAATCTTACATGCAAGATTATATTAAAACCTCTCTTAAGAGAAGAAACCTCCAGTTGGAGGTGTTGTGTTAGCCAACAAATGTAGATTAATTGTGCTCCCCTGAGTCAGTCATTGTTTAATATGCTGCACAGATTAACACCTTCAGGAATTCTGCACATTGTAAAGTGCAATACAAATATACTAATAAAATAACAGCAGACATTTATTAAGCTTACCACGTACCCGCAGACCCTATGCTGCATACGTTGAATCTACTATCTCATTCATCCTCAGAATGATTCTATGGGGTAGATTCTATTACTGTCCGCATTTTCCAGATGAGGAATTGTGACTCAGGGAGATGGATGTAGCCTGTCAGTATGGACTCTGTGCTGGTTAGACAAAACTGTCCTGGCCCCGTAAAGCCAGTGTTTTCCTCCCACGATGATGCCTCCAGTTTACATCCAAATGTCACAGGAAGAAAGCTTTCCTGCAGTCCAGGGCCCGACTAGGTCCCCACAGTCACAGCAGATTTGGAAAGGCTTTGTCCTCCACACACCACTTAAAAGCACCAACCCAGCAGCCCGAGGGTCCTCTAGCAGCCCACTTCAAGCCGCCACACTGCCCAGAAAGTAGCCTCCGGGGCAGTTTTGCTTCTAATGCTTGTGTCTAATGCTTGAGACATGGTTGCTTTTGAGAAATGGAGCTGCTCAGTGAGCTGTCGCCCCCACCATCCCCAAATGCCTGGTCAGCCCTAACCAGAGGAGAGCCTGGCCAGCCAGGGCAGCCCCCAACTTCATCAGCAGCAAGGAGCTTGTGGTTTGACCATTACCTTTTTGTTTGTTTGTTTGTTTGTTGTGAGATAGAGCCTTGCTCTATTGCCCGGGCTGGAGTGCAGTGGCGGGATCTCGGCTCACTGCAACCTCCGCCTACTGGGTTCAAGTGATTCTGCCTCAGCCTCCCGAGTAGCTGGGATTATAGGCGCGCATCACCACGCCGGCTAATTTTTGTGTTTTTGGTAGAGATGGAGTTTCACCACATTGACCAGGCTGGTCTCGAACTCCTGACCTCAAGTGATCCACCTGCCTCGGCCTCCCAAAATGCTGGGATTACAGGCGTGAGCCACCGTGCCCAGTCTAGTACCTTTTTCTTAGGTGGGGCTTTCTAGAAGAAGCAGAATGAAAAAGGAAAATATTTAGTTTCTGAATAAAAAGGGGCTATTGGCAACCAGGTTTGGATGGCGTCAGAAGGAATGCCTGAAGAAGTGATATGCCATGTTGCTGCCCAGTTTCACACTGGAAGAGATCCTGTGCAAAGATCCAGCGGCCTGCTTTGGGTTCCAGTAAACACAAAAGTACGTACTGGCACTCTGCGGATTACAGACTCACTGACAACTTCATGGATTCATAGATCAAGTTTTGTTACATTGATCCAAGGTGAAGGCACGCCACAGCAGGTTACTTGTGGCCTTGTTACTGTCTGTAACTCCCTGAGTTACAGATGAAAGTTCAGCTAAAGATGAAAAGGGCTCCAGGCGGGGCAGGAAAGGTAGCATCGTGAGGCCAGCATCTCACCTATGGCATTTTGACCTAAAAGAGCTGTATCAACAGAGGTAAAGTGACCCATACATTTACCTTGGGGTTAGACAGCTTCTAGTTCCTTGGACTATCTGGAACCATGTCTCTTTCTGAAGGTGCCACATGCAGTGAGGAACCTGCCCTGGCAGAGGAACTCGTGTTCATCCTCTGAGGCCCCTTCGTTTCCAACTGAGCCATGTGCTTAGCAGTTGGGGGTTTCCTACTAATTTTTCGGAGAATGTTATTGTTTGAAAAGTGCTCTCCACAGAGCATGTGATTAGATCTTTTTGTTACTTGGGTGAGAATCTAGAGCTCCTGTCTTGCCTTGACAGCTAATATTCATGCCCATCTATTGTGGTCCTGTTTCCAAAGAGGAACACACAACAGAGTTTCTGTGCAGTGAAACCTGTGTCAGACCTAAAGGAGGCAAGGGCTGCTGAGGAGCTTGAAATGACCCTTAAAAGATATCAAGGAGAAGAGTTGTCTTCATACTCTCTTCTATCTGTCTGTCCATCTGTCTATTCATCCATTCATCCATCCAGCATTCAGAGCAGGTCTCCCATATTTTAATGAAGGGAACCTCATTTTTATTTCCCCAAGATCTAGAGATTAGGAAGAGTGCAGACAGTGCTGAACGGCTAAAAAGAAACGATTCACAGCGAGGTTCTCCTTCCTTCCTTATGGGAAACCAACAAATCATAGCCAGATAGGCTGGACTGTCTACAGAGAAAGACTTCACATGTGGCAGGCTGGGGATTCCCTGCCTCCCAGTCCAGCTTAGTGCAGATTAGGGGATGCAATTTAGCCTATACGTGACCTTCTATGACCTCGCAGCATCCTTGGCAATTCGTTCTTTCCTGTTTCCTGAAAACAAAGGCCTTGAGTGTCCCTGCAAGCCCTGTTCCTTGTGTAGGCAACTGGGATCCTATCTCTGGGGTGGGTGCAACTCATCCTTCTTTTCTGAATAGTGTTAAAGTTGAATTTAGAATGTCGTGATTGTTAGTAATAGCATTACTAATGTTCCAAGGCCCTCGGAAAGGTCCCAACAATATGTCTTCCTTTCAAGTTGATTCTCTTGGTACCCCATTCCCACCCCCAATGTGGTGGCTGAGTTGGAAGAGGCCCAGCATCTTCCAAGCACAGCTCCCTGCCCCACAGTTCCTCCCTCGCACCTACTGAGGTTCTGAGCTGTCAGCCCCCCAGTATTGAAACTCAAAAAATTAGGGAACATGATAACGCATTCTGCCCTAATATTGTCCTTTTAATGTCTAATTATCATTGTAGACAAAGTGGCTTGAACTTAGGCTTTCATCCTAGAAGCTTTACCACTTTTACTGTTTCTATACTTTTGTAGCTAATAAGTCAAATGTAGAACAAAGAGAAGGCTGCATTTGTTCAGGAAACTGTAAATCTGTCCCATTTGATCACAATCCTGTTGAAAGGAAGAAGCCTTACGAGGACAGTGTGTTTGCTACAATGCTGAGCCGTGACAGCTGCAGCAGCGGCTCCTGGAGCACAGGGCTGCTGGCATGGGCTCACCACCCTCACAGCCATTTGTCTGGCGGCTTGTATTCAGATGTATTTGTTCAGTAATCCAAAAATGGAAGGGTGATTTGGAACCTTGAGCAGCAGGCTGGGGATGGCTGTGAATTCTGCTTTGCACTTGCCCACTACATCAACACGCCAAGAAACTCACCTGCCCCATCCCAGTGCATTCTGAACATTTCTTATTTTTATCTTCTTACCAACCTTCTCTCTTAAAATCAGCTTCATTAAAATGGATTTTTCTAGAGTAACCACCAGATCACCTCCCCCACTCTCAGTCCGTTTTCCAGTCAAACCATTTGTTACTTGATTCAGTTCCAAATATAATGTGTGTCTGCTACTGTTAAGTCATTGCCTTATAGTCAACCTCAAGGGTAGTCATAAACTCCAAGAGTTTCACGTGTCTGACTATATTCTTAGGAGATTGATGGGTTACATTTTTCTCCTCGATAGTGGTCATGGGGGAAATGTGTTAATTTTTCACTTTAGATGTTTGTGAAATGTTGGGGAGAGTGAGGGGTTTGTTCTTAAGTGGTGGGCCATTGACCCAAAGTATTTTTAATTCCTTTTTTAGGCTGCATTTGATGCCAGAAGGCAAACACAACCTGCATTTGCGTTTTGCAGATGAATTCAACAAGTTAGCAGAAGACTTCCTACAATGAGAATGCACACTCCAGTCTTGGTGGTTCCTTCGTGTGGGGCTTGATCGTGTTGCTGCCTGTTAACATGATGCCTTTGAAACTCTCCGCCTTTGAAACTTTCTACCCCTCCCTTCAATCTTATCCTAACCAAATGAGAATAATGACATATTGAAAACAGCCTCTAGCTTCAGGCTGGGCACGGTGGCTCACAGCTATAATCTCAGCACTTTGGGAGGCTGAGGTGGGAGAATTGCCTGAGCCCAGGAGTTCAAGACCAGCTTGTGCAATATAGGGAGACTCCGGCTCTACAAAAAAGAGTTTTTCAAAATTAGCCAGGCGAAGTGGCACACATCTGTGGTCCCAGGTGCTCAGGAAGCTGAGGTGGGAGGATCACTTGAGCCCAATTCAAAGCTGCAGTGAGCTGTAATTGCATCACTGCACTCCAACCTGGGCAACAGAGTAAGACCTTGTCTTAAAAAAAAATAAAAACATAAAAAAAAATAAAAAAGGAATAAAGCCTCTAACTTCAATAGCTATGAAAATTAAATCCGATTTTCTAAGATGAAGTTGTGACAAGTTATACCATTGTCTTAACAGGTGAATTCCTGCCATAATTTATTTTCAAATAAATTTTAGGTGGAGAATGTGTAGTGTTAATGTTGGAGATTTTAAGACATCTTGAATTTGTACTGTACCTTTTATCTGAGAGGTTCAAGCTTCACTTGTGTTTTTATTTGTGTTTATCTATCATATTCAAAGAGAAGTAGGGAGAGTCCGTGCCCGAGGTCCTCAATTCTAAGATCAGAGGATGTCCAGAACAGCAGCAGATAGGGGCAGGTTTGCTTTACCCCATATCCCTCTCCTGGTTCACTTTTGAGAGATGAATACTTTGGGCCAGTAAAGGTGAACAAAATATGTATTTTCATCACTCTGTACTAAAAGGACAGGAATGTTATTAATTAAAACACTAAAGCAGAAATCCTACATTGCTATTAAAATTAAACTTTGATTACCACAATAAAAACAGTAGCAAGTTAAACCTTGACACTTTATACTTAAGCATTTAGAGAAAGAATAAAAATTATTTGAAGTGAGAACACAGACCACAAGGTTTTCTACACATGCTTTTTTATTAGTATAGATACCTTCACAGACAATACTGTAATTTTTAGAGGAGTTCCACATCATTACATCAACAGTGTGAATTTCTAACAGAGGCAAAACTGAGCACCATAGTTTACAAGTAGAAAGACCATGCTTGAGGACAACAGAAGTTCACTAAGGATGCACGATTGATCTGAGAAGTTTTTAAGCCTCGTCCTCGCCCTCCTCCTCCTCGAACTCCCCTTGTTCGTCGGCCGTGGCGTCCTGGTACTGCTGGTACTCGGACACCAGGTCGTTCATGTTGCTCTCGGCCTCGGTGAACTCCATCTCGTCCATGCCCTCGCCCGTGTACCAGTGCAGGAAGGCCTTGCGCCGGAACATGGCCGTGAACTGCTCGGAGATGCGCTTGAACAGCTCCTGGATGGCCGTGCTGTTGCCGATGAAGGTGGCCGACATCTTCAGGCCGCGGGGCGGGATGTCGCACACGGCCGTCTTCACGTTGTTGGGGATCCACTCCACGAAGTAGCTGCTGTTCTTGTTCTGCACGTTGAGCATCTGCTCGTCCACCTCCTTCATGGACATGCGGCCCCGGAAGATGGCAGCCACCGTCAGGTAGCGGCCGTGGCGCGGGTCGCAGGCGGCCATCATGTTCTTGGAGTCGAACATCTGCTGGGTGAGCTCGGGCACCGTGAGCGCCCGGTACTGCTGGCTGCCCCGGCTGGTCAGGGGCGCGAAGCCGGGCATGAAGAAGTGCAGGCGAGGGAAGGGCACCATGTTCACCGCCAGCTTGCGCAGGTCTGCGTTCAGCTGGCCCGGGAAGCGCAGGCAGGTGGTGACCCCGCTCATGGTGGCCGACACCAGGTGGTTGAGGTCCCCGTAGGTGGGGGTGGTCAGCTTCAGGGTGCGGAAGCAGATGTCATACAGGGCCTCGTTATCAATGGAGTAGGTTTCATCTGTGTTTTCCACCAGCTGGTGGACAGAGAGGGTGGCGTTGTAGGGCTCCACCACCGTGTCTGACACCTTGGGTGAGGGCATGACGCTGAAGGTGTTCATGATGCGGTCTGGGTACTCTTCCCGGATCTTGCTGATGAGCAGGGTGCCCATCCCGGACCCCGTGCCGCCCCCCAGAGAGTGGGTCAGCTGGAAGCCCTGGAGACAGTCACAGCTCTCTGACTCCTTCCTCACCACATCCAGGACCGAGTCGACCAGCTCGGCTCCCTCTGTGTAGTGGCCCTTGGCCCAGTTATTCCCGGCTCCACTCTGGCCTGCCAGAGGGAAAGTGAACATTAGACACTAAAACATAAGGAATTTCAAAATCTGTCATTTTGACTATGGAGGAGAAGGTAGGACTGGTCTTAGACTGGCAGATTCTTCTCTTTTGAATACTCTTCTTTTACCTGAAGAAATATTTTTCTATGTCAGTGACCTCAAAAACACTGGGGATCATAATAAAGTAAGAAGTAAGTTTAGCTCATCTGAGGCTATTGATTGAGGAAGAGGATAGGGTTAGAAAACTTAATTGGTTCTGAAATACATACATTTTTAAGAGGCATTCTCTTTATACTCAACTACAATTAAACAGGCAAGGTGAAGGCAGTGTGACCAGCAGAGAAGGTGGCCTCAGCATCTGTCTAGCTCTGGTCATAACCTGTGCTTTTGGCCCCTGGCTCTTTGAAGTCCTTTCAAGTTGCCTATAGCCTATGAAGCCTGGCTTGAAGCTTTTCCTTGCTCTTTCTTCCTTCCAGTCTGAGGCTGCTCTGCAATGGGAGGGCTGCAGCAGCCCTCTGCAGGCTGGCGTTGATCTGTGAGCCATGACCACCCATGGACTGCATGGAGCTAGGCCAGGACTCAGGGCTGCCGTGGACACAGTGTCACCTTGGCACTGAACACTAAGAACTGTGCTTTGCAGGGCTGTTAGGAAGAAGGTGTGTCATTTGGCCAGTTCCCAGTGATCATGACTACATACCGAACACGAAGTTGTCTGGTCTGAAGATCTGGCCGAAGGGTCCAGACCTGACAGAGTCCATGGTGCCAGGCTCCAGATCCACCAGGATGGCCCGAGGTACATATTTGTTACCTGCAGGAAATAAGAACTGACTCAGGCCTGTGCTTGGGGAGGGACTCACAGCAGCATTCAATTCCAGCATCTGAGACAAAAGGAGAACAGGAGATTTTCTGCTTTTAAGAAAAAGGAGGTCCTGAGTGTGCTTAGCCGTGGCAAACAGGCAGGAATCTTAGGAAACCATAAAACATGTTTTTCCAGCAGTTGGCATTTGAAATGAATATGCAAGAAGCATGCCTTTGTCACGTGCATGTTCCTGGGACGTTTCATCTCCCACATCATGGAAAGCAAGGATTCCTGGGCACACACATCCCGCTACTCACCAGCAGCCTCATTGTAGTACACGTTGATTCTCTCCAGCTGCAAGTCACTGTCTCCATGGTAACTGCCTGTGGGGTCGATCCCATGCTCATCGCTGATGACCTCCCAAAACTGAAATGAAAAAAGAACCACACCATGGCTCTGCATCCTGAATGTCACTAAGGATGGCCTTGTCCTCCTCCCATGTCCTTGGAACAGGGGCTTTTGTGGTCAGACAGTTAGTAAGTGCTAGACAGAGAGCAAAGAGCTGCACCCCCTATTTCCTGCAGCAGCCGCTGCTGAGGGGCTTGAAAATCCGCAGAGCATCGGCCATATTATGGGGATAGACTGAAAGGCTGGGAGGGGCCCTGGAGGAGGAGGGGACACAGCAGATGCCCTTCTAGGGAGAGGGTGGGGAGAGTAGAGAAGTGGAGAAGGGGTACAGGGAGGCTGTGTCACCCCAGGCAGGGCTGAATGCCATTGCATCCGGGATGATTGATGGGTCGTGGCAGGCCAAGGACAGGGGGACCCACTCTGTGGCTGCCTCCAGGGATCAAGCTCTCTTGGCACAGATCCCAGGCACTCCTGCAACAGTGCAGGTTTAAGCCACCGATCTACATGCTGGCACTGACCACCGGAGGGACTGGGCGAAGGGCAGCAGGAGCCTGGGAGGGCACCTGGGCGGCAGTGGAAGGAGCTGGCCATCGTGAGGGCGCTGGCTGCATTGTGAATTTGCGGCGGGGAGGCTGGGTGGGCAACATGGCGGTTCTCAAAGAGACCACGTCCTTGTACTGGCGCCCGCCCCCACCCATGCACCAGACCCGCTGCTGCCTCCCACACAGCGGTCGGTAATTGCAGCCCCCACCCAGCGCAGTCACCTGCCGCCTCGGGGACTGGCAGCAAGACTATCGCGTTGTATGTCATCATGTCAAGACAGTGCCCGAGCAAGGGAATTTATCTAACACCCTTGCCTGTACGACCCAAAGGGACGCCTCTGTTACATCTGCCAGTCCAGTGACACTGCATGTTTTCATTCAAACCGTAGAGAAAAATATACAAATTAAATTCACATGAAGCTAGCGCAATAAATATGACCGTACCCCCGACCCAAGTTTCTGAGACAAATACACCCAGGGGAATGCCAACCGCGTCCCGCAGAAGGGCTGTGTCCCAGGGAAATCGAAAGGCCCCCGATTAAACGCACACACAGCTGCGGCGCTGCGGGCATCCTGGCGGGTCATGCAGCCTCCCGGACCCCGCCCGGCGGCCTCGCCGCGGAATGTGCCACCCGGCCAGCCCGGGGCCGCCGCGGCCTCCAGCCCCCGCCCCGGCCCCAGCCCGCACCCTCGGTCCCAACCCCGGGCCCCTCCGTGGCGGTGAGCCCACCTTGGCGCCGATCTGGTTGCCGCACTGGCCCGCCTGGATGTGCACGATCTCGCGCATGGTGCCGGCTGCGGAGCGGGTGGCGCTGGCCCTCGGAGCGGTGCGCGGCGTGGACCGGCGGGCTGGGCTGCGCAGAGACCTGCCGCCGCCCCCCCAGCTCGGTCTTTTATACCCGGGGACCCGCCCTGCCCGGTGACGTCATGACGGGCGGGGCTGTGGCCGCGGGGGCGGTGCGGCTGGGACTGCGGCACCGCGAGGGGGAGCCGGGGCGCGGTGCGAGGTGTGGGGGCGCTCGCCCTATTGCTGCTGCCGCTGGGTCTAGGGTGGGCGGCCGGCCTCGCGGTCCGGCGGTGAGTGCGGTGCCCGGGCCTCGGGCCCAGCCGCAGCCCCCTGCCCGATCCACGGGCACGGGCGACCCCTGGCGCTGGGTCCTCCGCTCACGCCGCGATCCCCACCCCGAGCCGCCCACTCTGGACCCCCGAGGGGGGCTGGGGACCGGGGGCCCCGGAACCAGGGGGAGGGGCTGCCTCGGAACAGGGTCCTCGCCTCCTAAGGACGGGAAGAGGCGTCGAGTACCCTTTGGAGTAGGGGGCCGGAAATTGAAGACCCATTTGCAGTGGGCTCTCCAGCGGGTGGCAAAGGTTTCCCGCATCCTGGGCAGGGTCCTGGACGCCGTTTGTGGGGGTGGGGTGGGCAGCGTGGAGAGGAGTGGGGGGCCGCGGGGAGCCGACGGGCAGCTGCCTGAAAGGAATGCCAGGATGGCGGGGTGGGCGGCCTTTCGCCCCTGCAGGGGAGGAAGATGGCTTGGTCGGGGGCGGGGGTTGGGGGGGCTATCAAAGGGCTGGATTTGTCACATGTCCGCTTTGGGCTCCTGCGTCCTTGTAAAGGCCTTTTAAATGTGGAAAATTCTGCGGGTGTGTGTGTGTGTGTGTGTGTGTGTGTGTGTGTGTGTCAGAGAGGAAAGACAGGAGGAATATATCTGCCACGTTGATGTGTCAGCTGATGGCCCTGCCCCTTACACCCCTTAGGTCGCCTGATCCTCACAGAAGCTGTCGGAGCTAGGCTGGCCAGTTCGGTAGACCCTAGGCACGGTGGCTGCCGAGCATTGAAACGTAGGTAATCTGAACTGAGATGGGCTGTTAAGTGTGAAGAACACACTGGCTTTTATGGGCTCAGTAAGTTAAAATAATGTGAAATATTTCATTACTGATTCTTAAATATTGATGGTCTATCAAAATAATAGTGTTTTGGATACATTGTGTTAAATGACTTGTTTTGAAATTAGAAAATGTAAAATTACATACTTGGTTTCCATTTGCTGCTCACTTACGCATATTTTTGTTGACTACCACCGGCTTCTGGTAAGCATTATTACTACCCCAATTTCATAGCTCCGAAAGCGAGGTTGAAAGACCTGACCAGCCACAAAGCTAGGAAGGGAAGGAATCTAAAGCCTTTGTATAAATAAAAAGCCCAGGTGAGTTTTAAAGGCTTGGGTGGGCTGTGGTAAGGACCTGACTTAATTATTCACAAAGATGGCCCTGCACGGTGGACTAGGTAACAGGGGCTTGGGGACTGCCTTTGGTTCCCAGCACATTCCAACTATATAATGATGATAATTACAGGTGCCTTGGAGCTGGCTTTGTGGTAGGAGATGAGAAGCCATATATGAAAGCACATTGAGTTTATGGAGTAAAAATGCCTTGGTAAAACCCAAGGTGATGGGCTGGGCGCGGTGGCTCACGCCTGTAATCCCAGCACTTTGGGAGGCTTAGGCGGGTGGATCACGAGGTCAGGAGATCGAGACCATCCTGGCTAACACGGTGAAACCCCGTCTCTACTAAAAATACAAAAAAATTAGCCGAGCCTGGTGGCAGGCATCTATAGTCCCAGCTACTCGGGAGGCTGAGGCAGGAGAATGGCGTGAACCCGGGAGGCGGAGCTTGCAGTGAGCCGAGATGGCGCCACTGCACTCCAGCCCAGGCGACAGAGCCAGACTGCGTCTCAATAAAAAACAACAACAAAAAACCCAAGATGATGCTGTCATTCCTAATGTGCACCCTACCTGCCACCTCAATAGTTGGTCTGTATCGGAGGTGGAAACTAAAGCCAGATGTCTGTGAGTAGCCTCTTAGGCCAAGTTAGGTCTTAATCACCCCAGCTTTAGGAAGCGCCCAGCATCCTCCCAGATGTAGGTAGGCAGGTGCCTAGTGCCTCTTCTCAGGGTGGGGACAGATTTCCTAGAATTTCTCCTCCTCTCTCCCCTCTCCCTGCTGCTGGGCCCCCAGTGGACAACCTGTCCCTCGGATGCTACTCCCAGGTACCCAGGGCTTGACCTCCACCTTCTCCCCACCCCCACCCCAACTCTCACATCTTGGCTCTTCACCACAGCCGGAGCCTTCCAGATCCTCTCCAGAGAATGGCTCTCCTTGGGGTACCTTCACTCATTACACAGTTCTGAAAAGATTTTTCCAGAGATAATTGCTTCTTGGCCTTTGTGTTTTAATTCAGCGTGAAATCTGAGGCCAAATAGGAGCAGAGGATGAGACCTGAAAGGGACAGCACTAGGGACACGGGGACCCCTAGCAGCTGGGCGTTTCCCGGCCTGTGGAGCATGTGCCCACTCTGCTGTTCCTAGCTCAGTCCTCCAGCAAGTCACTGCACCTCTCTGAGCTTCTCTGGAAATGGGTTTTTCTTACGTTGGGGAGCTGGGAGGCACTGTGCGTGAACTGGACATTAGTGAGCGCACAGAAAATAAATCCATGGCAGTGTTCACGGGCGCAGGCCAGGTACCTGATTGTCTGCTCTGGATCGCTGGCAGTGAATGTTCTGCCCAAGTCGGCCTTCTCCTGCCTGGCAGTTCACGCCCAGCCTACTTCTCTCTGACGCGCTCCTCCCTCGGTGCCGCCCGTGATGTGTGTTAGTATATAATCAGAGAAACTCACACGCGGAGTTTTAAATAATGCCTGCCCTGCCTAAGGTGACTCATCTGAGGCCGTGAGTTCCTGCTCTCCCCTCCCTCGCGGCAAGTGTAGATATCCCCAACCCCACCTCGCTGTCACTAAGCAACTCGACCTTGTACAGCACCGATGCAGATAATAACAGGAGGAAATAGAGCCTGCTAATTGTCCCCTTCCCTAGAATAGGTTTTTAAGGAGCAATCTCTCCCCTTTCATGTATTTTTCAGTGTCTAAAGAGGAGCAGCTCCACCGGCTGTTGGGTGGGCCGGGGATGGGGAAGGGGAAGAGGACCAACCTCCTCCAGCCTCAAGTCACTTCCTGCTTTAGACAGGATGCCACTCGCAGTGTCTGAGCCACCCCTACCCTGAAGGCATCATTGGCGGGGTGAGGGGCGGGGGGCGGGGAAGGGCAGGTGTAATGACAAAATTCAGACTAGAGAATGTGTTCCAGGTAGGAGGCTGAGCCACATCTGTCTTTCACAAAAGGACATAAGCTCTTACCCTTTTGCCTGCCCTTCCCGCCTGCTGCTTCAGAGGGCCCAACGAGAAGGGTCCTGGTGAGAATGTTCTAGTGAAACGTACCCTGTGAATATGTGGTGTTATGATGATATCGTTACTGTTCACTGATGCCATCTCTAAGGGTGACAGTCGTGATCTAGTTGAAATAGATTTAGTTGGTCCAAGTAAGAGAGTCCTGGAACTTCAAAAACACTAGTTTCCTCTGCAGAATGATGAAAACCCAAGGACCATCCCAGCAATACAATTGTCTAAATTTGTATGGTACAGTCTTGCATCCTGTTTGTGCCCTCAGAGAACTAGCCACACTCTCCGCTCCAACTTCTCTTTCCCATGAAACTCATCCAGTGCAGCCCCTGTCTGCTATTTTTTAAATAAAAGCATCTCTTTATGAAGATGGAAGAATTTTGTTCAAAGCATTTAAGGGGATGTAACCTTTTCAAAAGGTTACCTAAAATAAAAGTCTGAACTCCAATTAAATTTAATTTTAAAATATCAACCCCACCAAAGTTTACAATTTTTTTTTTTTTTTGCATCAGATGACTATAATAATACAGAGTAAATATATAGAAGATTTTTAGCCACTTTCTGGAATGGGCCATGCCCCAGAATGTGACATTCATATTACAAGTGTCGATCTGGGGCCTTTCAAAACTGAAGATGTCATTTTTTGTTTTTTTTTGAAATGGAGTCTCGACTAGGCTGGAGTGCAGTGGCATGATCTTCGCTCATTGCAACCTCTGCCTCCCAGGCTCAAGCGATCCTCTCGCTTTAGCCTGCCGAGTACCTGGGATTACAGGCGTGCACCACCATGCCTGATTAATTTTTGTATTTTTAGTAGAGGCAGCGTTTCACCATGTTGGCCAGGCTGGTCTCAAAGATGTTATTCTTGATGTCAAATTCTCATTAAGCTATAACCCCCCAAGTTTTTTTTAAATACATACAATGTACACAGCAATTATATATACATATATCTTATATACATATTTCCTGATTATAAAATTAGAAACACTTAGAAAGTACTAAAGAGCACAAGTGTATCCCCTGTTCTCGAGATTTTTTTAAATGCTTGATGTATTATATTCCTTTGTGTTTTTCCTATTCATGGGCTGTTTAGGTGTTTTTGTTCCTTTATAACTTTTTTTTTTTTGCCTTCAACATTAAGAGTGAAGAAATACTATATCTTCTTCTGCTATGACTTAGACATAATCTCACAAATTCTCAAAAATATGTAACCTACTCCCAACTGTCATTCTCCCCATAATCTGAGGTGTCCAGAGCATACCGAATTATCTACAGAGCAAACTCATCTCTGCTTCCCATGACTAAGGCCGTTTAGAGGACTCAGTGCCCTCCTGCCGCGTTCCCTGACTGTTGAAAAGCACAGGGCCTAGAGTTGATGGACTGGGTGCAAATCCTCACTGTCACTTCTTAGCTGTGTGACCTCGGCAAGTTACTTAACCTCTCTCTGCCTTAGTTGCCTCATCTGTAAAGTGACAGTAATAATAGTACCCGCTTCCTGGGGTTGTGATAAAGACTGAATGAATATGTGAAAGCACTCACAATACCACCTGCCCCACAGTGTTATATAAATATTAGCTATTATAACGGGTTAATCCCGTCCTCCCCCCACTCCCTCCCTCCCTCCCTTTTTTTCTCCCTCCTTCCCCTCCCTCCCTGGAGCTCTTCTGGAATCAGGACTCAACTCCAGAGCCACTTGCGAGGCTCCCATGCGGCGAGACTGCGGTCTCCGCTGGCCGCACGCTCTTCTGCATACAGCTCCGCACTACACTCCTCTCCCCTAATCCCGAGGCTGGCGCTGCAGAGTGAGCGAGCGCAGGATCGCTAAGCGCGAGCCGAGGCGCCATCGGAACACTCTTGCCCCCACCCAGACGTCGAGTCTGCAGGTCCAGGGCAGAGGGCGCTGGGCGGCGCCGGGAGGCGCGAGGCACCCGGGAGAGCCGGCTCCGTGGCTTCCTACTACCTGACCCCCTGACCACCTAGTTCTGGAGCCAGGCTTCTTCACCCTTCGCCAGGTCTGGGCTGCCAGGGACTCGGGGTGGGGCCGCCACGCTGCCTTCTCCTTCCGTCCGGAGCGCCGGGGCGCGCGACCCGCTCCGTTTCACGCTCTAGGCAAACGGTAGTTCGGGAAAGGCTGAGCTTCGCCCCCTCCCCGCGGTGAGAGCGCGGCGCGGCGGGGCGGGGCCTCCTGCGGGCGGGAGAGGCACCGGGGTCCAGGGGCCGCGGCGCAGGGGGAGGGCGGGGCTGTGCCCCCCGGAGGCCCTGCCCGCCCCGCCCCGCCCCGCCCCGCCCCAAGACCCGGGTTCCCCCTGGAGGCCGCCACCGCCCGTCCCTGCCCGTCGCCGGCAAGGCCTGAGCCTCTGTCTCAAGATCGGACGGCCTTTGCAGCGGGAGCACCAACCAACCCCACAAATTCATGAAATACTAGGCGGGAGATGCGCTCAAAATAGGACGTGCCTTTTGTTTTTTGTAGCTATAAGAGAATATCGAAGTACTTTTTTTTTTTTTTTTTTTTGAGATGGAGTCTTGGTCTGTCACCCAGGCTGGAGTGCGGTGGCGCAATTTGGGCTCACTGCAACCTCCGTCTCCGCCTAACAGCCCTGTCGTACAAAAATAACAATAGGGAACATCTGAATAGGGGGTGGGCTAATTTTGTTAAATTTACTTTTTGATGCCCCCACGTTTTGTTGCTAGTGTTAATGAAATGCCACCAATGGCTGGCTTAAATGTAGTGCTGCCAATGTATATATTCTGTGTCTCTTCTCAGTTAGGAAGAACATTTGTTACTTCCACTACCTAAAGTTTGCCCGGCATGGTCAGTTTTACCAGTAGTCACCACAAGCACACTGCTAATTAGTTTTCCAGACCTAAGGAAACGTTTGAGATCAGGATTGGGATGTGGGGGGTGTAGGGGGAGTAATGACCCCAAAATAAAAGGAAAATTGCAATAGTAAAATGAATGTTTATTTAAATGTCTACAGAATATATCATGTCAATTAGTCAAAGACAACTCAACTTTTATATTGTAATGTATAAATTATACTTAATGTAAAAAGTTAAAATAGAAAATGAAACATATCTAATATGATATGGGACAGTTCCTCCAAAAGAGTGCCAGCGACCTCCAGAGCTCGAGCTGGCTCCATTCATCACCCACTTTTAGTATCATTTTCTGGTTATCAAGAAATGAGTAGAAGTTTTTTTTGAGACCGAGTCTCACTGTGACCCCCAGGCTGGTACAATGGCTCGATCTCAGCTCATTGCAACCTCCACCTCCCGGGTTCAAGCTATTCTCCTGCTCCAGCCTCCCAAGTAGCTGGGACTATAGGCGCCCGCCACCACGCCCGGCTAATTTTTGTATTTTTAGTAGAGACAGGGTTTCACCATGTTGGCCAGGCTGGTCTTGAACTCCTGACCTCAAGTGATCTGCCTGCCTCGGCCTTCCAAAGTGCTGGGATTACAGGTGCGAGCCACTGCGCCCACCCAGAATTTTTTTAATAACTGAAAGAAAGAAGGAGATTAAGGAAGATGGAGACAAATATGCAGGAGAAACACCCTCTGAGGGCGATTTAACAGAGCAGCGAATGTGGAAAGGGGAAGGGGAGGTGCTTCTTGGGTGCCCAGTTTCCTTGGGAGGAACTTGGGTACGTGGTCAGGGGTTGTGGGCAGTTATTCCCCTCGCTGGCCCTCAGGGGGCTCACAGGCCAAGAGCAGCTTGGTTGTCGTACATGGGTTAGGGGAAGACGGGAGAGTTAGGGTGCATGATAAGATAGAGAGGCAATGTGCAACTGGATATTTCTATGTACTTGGCCTTTCAAAATTCAAAATTTGTTAACTCATGAATACTTGTATACTGACATAATGTACAGATGCCATTTAAGGTTGGATAGTTTTGTAATTAATGAGGCATTATGGATCTCATTGAGAAGCCAATACTGACTCTGTGAGTGAAAAAACACAAATCGTTTTTCCTCTGTTCTCACAGCACAAAAGCCAACACAGAAGACTTCTGTGACCCAACGTGTAGGGGTGTTTCCCCATACACCAAGCAGGAAATCAATTCTGCCATAGACACCAGCTGGGTGTCCTCAACTTCCATTCCATTCTGACACCATCTACCAGCAGATAATGTCAGATCCCACAGGCTGAGGGCTCAGTCCCCCAGGCTCTCCCCACCACCTTCAGATGCCAACTGCAAGTGCCAGGCTGTCTTACCTGTGCCTCTGACCAACTGGCCATAAATCCGGGATTCCAGGGTCTCCTCCTTGGGTTCAATTAATTTGCCAGAGCAGCTCACAGAACTCAGGGAAATGCTTACTTACATTTCCCAGTTTATTATAAAGGCTATTACAAAGGTTACAGATGAAGAGGTGCCTAGAGTGAGGTATGGGCAAGGGGTCCATGCCCTCCCAGGACATGCCCCACCCCCAGTAGCCTCTATATGTTCCGTTACCTAAAGGTCTCCAAACCTGGTCCTTTTGGGTTAGTTTTTTATGGAGGCTTCATTTTGTAGGCCTGATTAATTAAATCATTGGCCACTGGTGATCAACTTAACCTTCAGGCCCTCTCCTCTCCAGGGAGGTTAGGGGATGGGGCTGAAAGTCCCAACCCTCTAATCATGCCTTGTTCTTTCCAGTGACCAGCCCCATCCTGAAGCTACCTAGGGGCTGCCAGCCACCAGCTGATTCATTAGCATAAAAAAGACATCACTTTGGAGATTTTAAGAATTTTAGGAGTTGTATGCCAAAAAACGAGGTTGAACATATACTTCACAATATCACAGTGACCTTGGAGAAATGAAGCTGAAAACAGCATAGGCTGAGGCCATCCATGGTGGGGAAAGCCCAGGCTAAGTATGGGAAGAGGGAGTGAGGACAGAGGCTGAGCGGCTCTGGAGCTGAGTCAACAAACGAGCTACTAAAAATGACCAGAGATTAATGCAAGAATCAGAATCTGTGTCACAATCTCAGATCTGGCTGAAAGGCCTCGTTGGGGAAGCAGGACGAAGAGGCTAGGATGTATATGTCAGAGGTGGGTTACAAGGAGACCTCTGCCCTGCAGGGCTGACTCAGAAAAACCTAGGTTGCTGCTACTCTGAGCCCAGCCTGAGACAGAAATTTCCACTGTAGCTACCTGCAGTTGTAAATTTAGCTTACCGATCCAGAACTAGTCCTCAGTGACATTGTAAGGGTGGTTACATCTCCTTTTTGTTCTGTGAAAGGAAAATAAAAATCTCTGGGCCCCAAACTCATTAAGTCAAAGGGAAAAGCTTGGGAACTGAGTCATGCAAAGACTGCCTTCCTTTTGTTCCTAAGTAGATAGCTACAAAGATAAAAGGCCACAAACCTCCCTAGGGGACCTTCCACATGATTTGCCCATCAGGAAATTCCTTGTAGGTCCCTAGATCTTTAGCCTATAACAGTTCTGTTGAATTTCACCCTGACAATGTAAATTCACAGCTCATCTTCATAGGTAAAGGACAAAGACAGGACTAGATCCTCCCTCCACTCACTAGAGACAAATGCACGTTTGGCTGCTTCCTGTACCCTGTGATTACTTTATCTAATGTAAAACTGCAGATTCACTGAGACAAATGCATAATGGACTGGCCTTCTACCTCCTCCTTTCACATGTAAAATGTGCATTCAGTGAAAGCTGATCAAAGTCTCAAAAGAATGCAACTGCTCTCCTTTTATCTACCCGCCCATTTTTTCTTTCCTCTTTCCCCCACTGCCACTCTTTCTCCATTAAATATTGACATCTCCAGACCCTTTTTGGAAAAAGCGCAGATCACAGATGTTCCCATGGTTTTGTGTTCTTTATTCCCCCTGAGTGCGTCTTCAACCTTGGCAAAATAAACCTGAGTGCGTCTTCAACCTTGGCAAATAAACCTCTAAAATGATTGAGACTCACCTTGGTCATTTTCTTTGATTTAGAGTTCTTTTATACCTCTCATTATCCTCCCACCATTTTGGGCAAGCAGGCTCCACCGCCTTAAATTCTGTACTCTAAGGACATATTGTTTTTTTGTTTTTTTGTTTTTTTTTTTAAGACGCAGTTTCACTCTTGTTGCCCAGGCTGGAGTGCAATGGCTCGATCTCGACTCACTGCAACCTCTGCCTCCTGGGTGTCAGGCCTGTGAGCCCAAGCTAAGCCATCATATCCCCTGTGACCTGCACGTACACATCCAGATGGCCCGTTCCTGCCTTAACTGATGACATTCCACCACAAAAGAAGTGAAAATGGCTTGTTACTGCCTTAACTGATGACATTATCCTGTGAAATTCCTTCTCCTGGCTCATCCTGGCTCAAAAGCTCCCCTACTGAGCACCTTGTGACCCCCACTCCTGCCAGCCAGAGAACAACCCCCTCCCTTTACTATAATTTTCCTTTACCTACCCAAATTTCCTCTTAAAGAAGTGGCTGGAGCTGAAGGCATAGTCAGGGTACATGTACCTTTTTCTCTATCAGACCTCACAGATCAGTCAGCGTTTAGGCTGTTTCTCATCAGACCCCACTAAACATATACAGGAATTCCGATATCTAACTCTGTCCTACAATTTAACCTGGAGTGACCTAAATGTCATCCTGACTTCTACCCTCTCCCCAGATGAAAGGGAAAGAGTTTTTTCTCTAGTCCACTCTCACGCTGATAACCACCGGCTTCATGAGCCAGACCTCCAGGAAGGCATCAGAGCAGTTCCCCAAGAGGATCCCCAATGGAACTATCAGGCAGATTCCCCAGGTATAGCTAGGCGAGATTACATGATTTCCTGCCTAGTTGAAGGGCTTAAAAAGGCAGCTTACAAAGCTGTTAATTATGACAAGCTTAAAGAAACTACCCAAGGTAAAGATGAAAACCCAGCCCAGTTCATGGCCTGCTTTGTAGCAACCCTTACACACTTTACCGCCCTAGACCCAGAAGGGCCAGAAGGCCGCCTTATTCTTAATATGCATTTTATCACCCAATCCGCTCCTGACATTAGGAAAAAACTTCAAAAATTAGAATCTGGCCCTCAAACCCCACAACAGGAATTAATCAACCTTGCCTTCAAGGTGTACAATAATAGAGAGGAGGCAGCCAGACGGCAACGCATTTCTGAGTTACAATTACTTGCCTCTGCCGTGAGACAAAACCCAGCCACACCTCCAGCACACAAGAACTTCAAAATGCCTAAGCCGCACACACCTAAGCCACAGCAGTCAAGCATTCTTACAAGACTTCCTCCATCAGGATCTTGTTTCAAGTGCCAGAAATCTGGCCACTAGGCCAAGGAATGCCCACAGCCCAGGATTGCTCCCAAGCCATCTGTGCAGGGACCCACTGGAAATCAGACTGCCCAGCTCATCCAGCAGCTACTCCTAGAGCCCCTGAAGCTCTAGCCCAAGGCTCTCTGACTGACTCCTTCCTAGATCTGCTCGGCTTAGCAGCTGAAGATTGACGCTGCCTGATCGCCTCGGGAGCCCCCGGACCATCACGGATGCCAAGCTTCAGATGACTCTCACGGTGGAGGGTAAGTCCATCCCCTGTTTAATCGATACGGGGGCTACCCACTCCACATTACCTTCTTTTCAAGGGACTGTTTCCCTTGCCCCCATAACTGTTGTGGGTATTGACGGCCAAGCTTCAAAACCCCTAAAACTCCCCCACTCTGGTGCCAACTTGGACAACACTCTTTTATGCACTCTTTTTTAGTTATCCCCACCTGCCCAGTTCCCTTATTAGGCCGAGATATTTTAACCAAATTATCTGCTTTCCTGACTATTCCTGGACTACAGCTGCATCTCATTGCCACCCTTCTTCCCAACCCAAAGCCTCCTTTGCGTCTTCCTCTCGTATCCCCCGACCTTAACCCACAAGTATAGGACATCTCTACCCCCTCCCTGGCAACCAATCACATGACCATCACCATCCTAGTAAAACCTAATCACCGTTACCCTGCTCAACACCAATATCCCATCCCACAGCACTTTTTAAAAGGATTAAAGCCTATTATCACTCGCCTGTTACAGTATGGGCTTCTAAAACCTACAAACTCTCCTTACAATTCCCCCATTTTACCTGTCCAAAAACCGGACAAGTCTTACAGATTAGTTCAGGATCTGCGCCTCATCAATCAAATTGTTTTGCCATCCATCCTGTGGTGCCCAACCCGTACACTCTTTCGTTCTCAATACCTTCCTCCACAACTCACTATTCCGTTCTTGATCTTAAAGATGCTTTTTTCACTATTCCCCTGCACCCCTCGTCCCAGCCTCTCTTTGCTTTCACCTGGACTGACCCTGGCACCCATCAGTCCCAGCAGCTTACCTGGGCTGTGCTGCCGCAAGGTTTCAGGGACAGCCTTCATTACTTCAGCCAAGCTGTTTCTCATGATTTACTTTCTTTCCACTCCCCCGCTTCTCACCTTATTCAATATATTGATGACCTTCTTCTTTGTAGCCCCTCCTTTGAATCTTCTCAACAAGACACCCTTCTGCTCCTTCAGCATTTATTCTCCAAAGGATATCTGGTATCCCCCTCCAAAGCTCGAATTTCTTCTCCATCTGTTACCTACCTTGGCATAATTCTTCATAAAAACACACTGCTCTCCCTGCCAATCATGTCCTACTGATCTCTCAAACCCCAACCCCTTCTACAAAACAGCAACTCCTTTCCTTCCTAGGCATGGTTGGATACTTTCAACTTTGGATACCTGGTTTTGCCATCCTACCAAAACCATTATATAAACTCACAAAAGGAAACCTAGTTGACCCCATAGATCTTAAATCCTTTTCCCACTCCTCTTTCCGTTCCTTGAAGACAGCTTTAGAGACTGCCCCCACTCTAGCTCTCCCTGACTCATCCCAACCCTTTTCATTACACACAGCCTAAGTGCAGGGCTGTGCAGTCGGAATTCTTACACAAGGACTGGGATCACGTCCTGCAGCCTTTTTGTCCAAACAACTTGACCTCAATGTTTTAGGCTGGCCATCATGTCTCCGTGCAGCGGCTCCTGCTGCCCTAATACTTTTAGAGGCCCTCAAAATCACAAACTATGCTCAACTCACTCTCTACAGCTCTCATAACTTCCAAAATCTATTTTCTTCCTCACACCTGACCATATACTTTCTGCTCCCCAGCTCCTTCAGCTATACTCACTCTGTTGAGTCTCCCACAGTTACCATTGTTCCTAGCCTGGACTTCAATCCGGCCTCCAACATTATTCCAGATACCACACCTGACCCTCATGACTGCCTCTCTGATCCACCTGACATTCACCCCATTTCCCCATATTTCCTTCTTCCCTGTTCCTCACCCTGATCACATTTGGTTTATTGATGGCGGTTCCACCAGGCCTAATCGCCACTCACCAGCAAAGGCAGGCTATGCAATAGTATCTTCCACATCTATCATTGAGGCTACCGCTCTGCCCCCCTCCACTACCTCTCAGCAAGCCGAACTAGTTGCCTTAACTCGGGCCCTCACTCTTGCAAAGGGACTACGCATTAATATTTATACTGACTCTAAATATGCCTTCCATATTCTGCACCACCATGCAGTTATATGGGCTGAAAGAGGTTTTCTCACTACGCAAGGTCCTGCATCATTAATGCCTCTTTAATAAAAACTCTGCTCATGGCCGCTTTACTTCCAAAGGAAGCTGGAGTCATTCACTGCAAGGGGCATCAAAAGGCGTCCGATTGAGAGGTGACAGCGTGCTGGCAGTCCTTACAGCCCTCGCTCGCTCTGGGCGCCTCCTCTGCCTGGGCTCCCACTTTGGCGGCACTTGAGGAGCCCTTCAGCCCGCCGCTGCACTGTGGGAGCCCCTTTGTGGGCTGGCCAAGGCCAGAGCTGGCTCTGTCAGCTTGCGGGGAGGTGTGGAGTGAGAGGCGCGAGCGGGAACCGGGGCTGTAGGCGGCGCTTGCGGGCCAGCTAGAGTTCCAGGTGGGCGTGGGCTTGGTGGGCCCCGCACTCGGAGCAGCCAGCCGGCCCTGCCGGCCCCAGGCAATGAGGGGCTTAGCACCAGGGCCAGCGGCTGCAGAGGGTGTACTGGGTCCCCCAGCAGTGCCAACCCACCGGCGCTATGCTCGATTTCTCACCGGGCCTTAGCTACCTCCCCGCGGGGCAGGGCTGTACCTGCAGCCCACCATGCCTGAGCCTCCCACCCTCTCCATGGGCTCCTGCGCGGCCCCAGCCTCCCCGATGAGCGCCGCCCCCTGCTCCACAGCACCCAGTCCCATCAACCACCCAAGGGCTGAGGAGTGCGGGCGCAGGGCGTGGGACTGGCAGGCAGCTCTACCTGCAGCCCCGGTACAGGATCCACTGGGTGAAGCCAGCTAGGCTCCTGAGTCTGGTGGGGACGTGGAGAACCTTTATGTCTAGCCCAGGGATTGCAAATACACCAATCGGCACTCTGTATCTAGCCCAAGGTTTGTAAACACACCAATCAGCACCCTGTGTCTAGCTCACGGTTTGTGAATGCACCAATCAACACTGTATCTAGCTACTCTGGTGGGGCCTTGGAGAACCTTTGTGTCGACACTCTGTATCTAGTTAATCTGGTGGGGACGTGGAGAACCTTTGTCTAGCTCAGGGATTGTAAACGCACCAATCAGCACCCTGTCAAAACAGACCACTAGGCTCTACCAATCAGCAGGATGTGGGTGGGGCCAGATAAGAGAATAAAAGCAGGCTGCCTGAGCCAGCAGTGGTAACCCACGACAGTTCTCTTCCACGCCGTGGAAGCTTTATTTTTTCGCTCTTTGGGTCCACACTGTTTTTATTGAGCTGTAACACCATGAAGGTTTGTAGCTTCACTTAAGCCAGCGTAGACCATGAGCCCCCTGGGAGGAACAAACAACTCTGGATGCGCTGCCTTAAAGAGTTCTTAACACTCACTGTGAAGGTCTGCAGCTTCACTCCTGAGCTAGTGAGACGACGAACACATCCGTAACAGCAGAAACAAACTCTGGATGCACCACCTTAAGAGCTGTACCACTCACTTCGAGGGTCTGTGGCTTCATTCTTGAAGTCAGTGAGACCAAGAATCCACCAATTCCAGACACATAGATCCTATTGCTCTAGGCAACGCTTATGCTGATGAGGTGGCTAGACAAGCAGCTAGCATTCCAACTTCTGTCTGTCATGGCCAGTTTTTCCCCCTACACGTTGGTCACTCCCACTTACTCCCCCGCTGAAACTTCCACCATATCAATCTCTTCCCACACAAGGCAAATGGTTCTTAGGCCAAGGAAAATATCTCCTTCCAGCCTTACAGGCCCATTCTATTCTGTCATCATTTCATAACCTTCCATGTAGGTTACAAGCCGCTAGCCCGTCTCTCAGAACCTCTCGTTTCCTTTCCATCATGGAAATCTATCCTCAAGGAAATAACTTCTCAGTGTTCTATCTGCTATTCTACTCAGGGATTGTTCAGGCCCCCTCCCTTCCCTACACATCAAGCTCGGGGATTTGCCCCTGCCCAGGACTGGCAAATTGACTTTACTCACATACCCTGAGTCAGAAAACTAAAATACCTCTTGGTCTGGGTAGACACTTTCACTGGATGGGTAGAAGCCTTTCCCACAGGGTCTGAGAAGGCCACCGCGGTCATTTCTTCCCTTCTGTCAGACATAATTCCTCGGTTTGGCCTTCCCACCTCTATACAGTCTGATAACGGACCAGCCTTTATTAGTCAAATCACCCAAGCAGGTTTTCAGGCTCTTAGTATTCAGTGAAACCTTCGTATCCGTCACCGTCCTCAATCTTCAGGAAAGGTAGAACAGACTAATGGTCTTTTAAAAACAGAACTCACCAAGCTCAGCCACCAACTTAAAAAGGACTGGACAATACTTTCACCACTTTCCCTTCTCAGAAGTCAGACCTGTCCTCGGAATGCTACAGGGTACAGCACATTTAAGCTCCTGTATAGACGCTCCTTTTTATTAGGCCCCAGTCTCATTCCAGACACCAGACCAACTTGGACTGCACCCCAAAAAACTTGTCATCCCTACTATCTTCTGTCTAGTCATACTCCTATTCACCGTTCTCAACTACTCATAAATGCTCTGCTCTTGTTTACACTGCCCTTTTTCACTGTTTCTCCAAGCCATCACAGCTGATATCTCCTGGTGCTATCCCGAAACTGCCACTCTTAACTCCCTGTTAAAGTAAATAAATAATCTTTGCTGGCAGGACTATGCTGAACCTCCTTAGGCACTCTCTAATTGGATGTCCAGGGTCCTCCCAATTCTTAGTCCTTTAATACCTGTTTTTCTCCTTCTTATTCCGTTCTTTTTTCAATTCATATAAAACCGTATCCAGGCCATCACCAATAATTCTATACGACAAATGTTTCTTCTAACAACCACACAATATCACCCCTTACCACAAAATCTTCCTTCAGCTTAATCTCTCCCATGCTAGGTTCCCACGCCACCCCTAATCCCAGCCCTGAGAAACATCGCCCATTATCTCTCCATACCACCCCCAAAAATTTTCACCACCCCAACACTTTGCCACTATTTCATTTTATTTTTCTTATTAATATAAGAAGACAGGAATGTCAGGCCTCTGAGCCCAAGCTAAGCCATCATATATTCTGTGACCTGCACATACACATCCAGATGGCCGGTTCCTGCCTTAACTGATGACATTCCACCACAAAAGAAGTGAAAATGGCCTGTTCCTGCCTTAACTCATGACATTATCTTGTGAAATTCCTTCTCCTGGCTCATCCTGGCTCAAAAGCTCCCCCACTGAGCACCTTGTGACCCCCACTCCTGCCCACCAGAGAACAACACCCTTTGACTATAATTTTCCTTTACCTACCCAAATCCTATAAAACGGCCCCACCCCTATCTCCCTTTGCTGACTCACTTTTCGGACTCAGCCCGCCTGCACCCAGATGAAATAAACAACCTTGTTGCTCACACAAAGCCTGTTTGGTGGTCTCTTCACACGGACGCGAGTGAAACTGGGTTCAAGCGATTCTCCTGCCCCAGCCTCCCAAGTAGCCGGGATTACAGGCATGCACCACCATGCCTGGCTAATTTTGTATTTTTCGTAGAGATGGAGTTTCACCATATTGGCCAGGCTGGTCTTGAACTCCTGACCTCAGATGATCCGCCCACCTCAGCCTTCCAAAGTGCTGGGATTACAGGTGTGAGCCACTGCGCCCAGCTTATAATTTTTTTTTTTTTTTTTTTTTAAGAGACAGTGCCCTGCTCTGTTATCCAGGAAGGAGTGTGGTGGCATGATCATGGATTACTGCAACTTTGAACTCCTGGGCTCAAGTGATCCTCCTGCCTCAGTCTCCCAAAGTGCTGGGATTACAGGTGTGAGCCACTGCACCTAGCCCCAAGGAAATAATTTAATACCAATCAATGAAGGCCTTTTTCTGATGAAAAGCTCTTTCAAGAATGTTTACGTGGAGCCACAGACTTTTCCTGGTTGTAAAGAACCTAAAGGTTGTATATTTAAAAATTAAAAGATATTCCAGCTGGGTGTGGTGGCTCATGCCTGTAATGCCAGCACTTTGGAAGGCCGAGGCGGGTGGATCATGAGGTCAGAAGATCGAGACCATCCTGGCTAACACAGTGAAACCCCATCTCCACTAAAAATACAAAAAATTAGCCAGGTGTGGTGGCGGGTGTCTGTAGTCCCAGCTACTCAGGAGGCTGAGTCAGGAGAATGGCGTGAACCTGGGAGGCGGAGCTTGCTGTGAGCCAAGATCGCGCCACTGCATTCCAGCCTGGGCGACAGATCGAGACTCAGTCTCGGAAAAAAAAAAAAAAAAAAAAATTAAAAGATAGTCCAAGATTATCATGGCTTCTCTATGCAGAATCCCTGATGGGAAGTTATACAGCCTATCCCTGAACACCTCCCTTGACAAGGTGCTCCTACAGAGCCAGTGATTGCACACATATGTGACAAGTAATTTACATGTGCATTTCATTTAATCCTCATAATAATTGCCTTCTGAAGTGGCTACCATGATCACCATTTTTTGGACAAAGAAGGTATGGCTCAGAGAGATTAAAATCCTTGCCCAAGGCCATACAACTAGGAAGGAAAAAAAATAACTTACTTTAGGAACACAGGTTCATCTGTTCCAGAGGCTGTGCTGTTTCCACTCTGGGGTAGGCAGGACTCTAAGGTGGCCCAAGATTCACCTGGCTCGTGGTATATACTGTTGGCAAAATGAGTCAAACTCTGTAAAATATTCGAAGAGGTTTATTCTGAGCCAAATATGAGTGACTAATGGCCCATGATACCGTCCTCAGGAGGTCTTGAGAACATGGGCCCAAGGTGGTCAGGGTCCAGTTTGCTTTTATACATTTTAGGGACACAGAAGGCGTCGATCAATACATATAAGATATACATTGGTTTGGTCTGGAAGGGTAGGACAACTGGAAGGAGGGGGGCTTCCAAGTCATAGATAGATTCAAAGGTTTTCTGACTGACAATATGTAGAAAGAGTTATCAATAGAATGCCTGGGTTATGATAAGGGATTGTGGAGACCAAGGTTTTGTCATGCAGATGAAGCCTTCAGGTAGCAGGCTTCAGAGAGAATAGATTGTAAACGTTTCTCATCAGACTTTAAGAGTCTGTTCTATCAGCATTTCCAAACGGGAGGAGGGAATGCAGAGACATGTCCAGCTCCCACTTCCCATCATTGCCTGAATGAGTTTTTCAGGTTAACTTTGAATGACCTTGGCTGAGAGGAGGGTTCCATTCAGATGGTTGGGGGGGCCTTAGAATTTTATTTTTGTTTTACAACACTCACCTTTTCCCGGTTGTTCAATCAAGCATAAATCTAGGTACTGCTGTGACAGGATTTTGCAGGTGCAATTAAGTTTCCAAGTCAGTTGACCTTAAGATAGAGAGATGATCTCATTGGCCTCCCCTAATCACATGAGCCCTTTTGAAGAAGAAGATTTCTCCACCCATTGACAGACAGGATATTCGAGTTTGGAAGCAGTAGAGACCCCCTCCTGATGACCTTGAAGGATCCGATAGCCTGCTATGGAGAGGGCCATGTGGCAGGGAACAGAAGGCAGCCCCCAGGAGCAGGAAGCAGCCTCTGCTCAAAGGCCAGCAAGAAAACGGGAACCTCGGCCTATGACCGTGAGGACCTGGCCCCTGCTGAGCACGTGAGCAAGCATGGGAGAGGCCCCTGAGCTCCTGATGAGTGCAGCCCTCCCAGACCTGCTGGACTCCCAAGCAACGGAAACTGTAAGGTGATCCTGGTGCGTTAAGCTGCTGACTTTGTGGTAACCTGTTAAAATAGCAAACTGGTAGACGAGTTCTTCTTTGATGAGTGATGTAGGTCAGGTGCCCCAAAGCACGCCTTGAGGCTAGGATCTGAGTGGAAGGTGATGAGGGCAGTGTCTGTCCTGGGAAGCGTTGGAAGTGCTGTGGGGAACAGAGCCAGGAAAGAGAAGGAAGCCAAGGGGCTGCCTCAGAACAGGTCACTGCTGCAGGTGGCAAGGGTTCAACCCAGGGGCATCTGTCAGAGACCAGGCAGAACTTCACTCTGCGTCGCCCCACCTGAGTGGAGGGGAGCTGGCTACTTAGCCTCCAGAAAGAGGTTTACCTTGCTGCACAAGTGACCCCTGGGGCAGGTCACAGTTTTTTTCAGTAAGAAGCCATCAGCAGGTCTGAGAAAAACAATGGCCAAAGGCACAGGGTGGGTCCAACAGTGTCTGCTACAAAGAATTTTGATGGGAAAGTCCTTGTATCCACTGACAGTGGCCTTCAGCCATTGGACCTGCTGTGTCCCCTTAGCTGACCCGTCTGTCTTCTGCAGCTGCCATTCAGATTCCTGTCATTTTCATGCTGCAGCAGTGCTCTCCTCACTAGCTAAGCATTTCTAGTCCCTCTCTGGACCCACCATGAAGCAGGATTTTAAATACTTTGTAATCTAGAGAGGCACTGGACTCAGAGCTGAATGCAAAGGCCAGAGATGCTCTCACTCATTTAGTTGTTCTTGTCTGAAGGCTGGGATGATGCAGGTCTGATTACGTCACCGCTGGAGAGCCTCATCACACTGGTGACTCACAGGAAGCTGTCCTGGTTCTTTGTGCAGCTGCTGAAGAACATTTCACTTTCCCCGCCCCACTCCTCTCAGTGTATGGATGCTAGGCAAGGGCATGTCACCTGCGGGGTGAGCTCGGGCACCATGAGCGCCCGGTACTGCTGGCTGCCCCAGCTGGTCAGGGGCGCGAAGCCGGGCATGAAGAAGTGCAGGCGAGGGAAGGGCACCATGTTCACCGCCAGCTTGCGCAGGTCTACGTTCAGCTGGCCCGGGAAGCGCAGGCAGGTGGTGACCCCGCTCATGGTGGCCGACACCAGGTGGTTGAGGTCCCGTAGGTGGGGGTGGTCAGCTTCAGGGTGCGGAAGCAGATGTCATACAGGGCCTCGTTGTCAATGCAGTAGGTTTCATCTGTGTTTTCCACCAGCTGGTGGACCGAGAGGGTGGCGTTGTAGGGCTCCACCACCGTGTCTGACACCTTGGGTGAGGGCATGACGCTGAAGGAGTTCATGATGCGGTCTGGGTACTCTTCCCGGATCTTGCTGATGAGCAGGGTGCCCATCCCGGACCCCGTGCCGCCCCCCAGAGAGTGGGTCAGCTGGAAGCCCTGGAGACAGTCACAGCTCTCTGACTCCTTCCTCACCACATCCAGGACCGAGTCGACCAGCTCGGCTCCCTCTGTGTAGTGGCCCTTGGCCCAGTTATTCCCGGCTCCGCTCTGGCCTGCCTAAAACATCTGTCATTTTGACTATGGAGGAGGAGGTAGGACTGGTCTCAAACTGGCAGATTCTTCTCTTTTGAATACTCTTCTTTTACCTAAAGAAATATTTTTCTTCTTCTTTTTTGTTTTTTTGAGATGGAGTCGTGCTCTGTCGCCCAGGCTGGAGTGCAGCATCTCCATCCCGGCTCCCTGCAACCTCTGCCTCCCAGGCTCAAGCAATTCTCCTGCCTCAGCCTCCCTAGTAGCTGGGATTACAGGCACCTGCCACCATGCCCAGCTAATTTTTATATTGTTAGTAGAGACAGAGTTTCACCATGTTGGCCAGGCTGGTCCCAAACTCCTGACCTCAGGTGATTCACCCACCTCGGCCTCCCAAAGTGCTGGGATTACAGGTGTGAGCTACTGCACCTGGCCAGAAATATTTTTCTATGTTAGTGACCCTCAAAAACCCTCGGGATCATAATAAAGTTAGAATTAAGTTTAGCAAATCTGAGGCCATTGACTGAGGAAGAGGATAGGGTTAGAAAACTTAATTGGTTTTGAAATACATACATTTATAAGAGGCATTCTCTTTATACTCAAGTACAATTAAACAGGCAAGGTGAAGGCAGTGTGACCAGGAGAGAAGTTGGCCTCAGCATCTGTCTAGCTCTGGTCATAACCTGTGCTTTTGGCTCCTGGCTCTTTATGTGTGTTTGTATGTATGTATGTATGTATGTATGTATGTATTTTTGAGACAGAGTCTCGCTCTGTCGCCCATACTGGAGTGCAGTGGCGCAGTGGCACGATCTCAGCTCACTGCAAGCTCCGCCTCCCGGGTTCACGCCATTCTCCTGCCTCAGCCTCCCGAGTAGGTGGGGATACAGGCACCCGCCACCACGCCCAGCTAATTTTTTGTATTTTTTGTAGAGATGGGGTTTCACCGTATTAGCCAAGATGGTCTCAATCTTCTGACCTTGTGATCCACCCGCCTCGGCCTCCCAAGGCCCCTGGCTCTTTGAAGTCCTTTCAAGTTGCCTATAGCTATGAAGCCTGGCTTGAAGCTTTTCCTTGCTCTTTCTTCCTTCCAGTCTGAGGCTGCTCTGCAATGGGAGGGCTGCAGCAGCCCTCTGCAGGCTGGCGTTGATCTGTGAGCCATGACCGCCCATGGACTGCATGGAGCTAGGCCAGGACTCAGGGCTGCCGTGGACACAGTGTCACCTTGGCACTGAACACTAAGAACTGTGCTTCGCAGGGCTGTTAGGAAGAAGGTGTGTCATTTGGCCAGTTCCCAGTGATCATGACTACATACCGAACACGAAGTTGTCTGGCCTGTAGATCTGGCCGAAGGGTCCAGACCTGATGGAGTCTGTAGTTCCAGGCTCCAGATCCACCAGGATGGCCCAAGGTACATATTTGTTACCTGCCGGGAATGAGAACTGACTTAGACCTGGGCTCCGGGAGAGAGTCAGAGTAGCATTCAATTCCAGTATCTGAGACAAAAGGAAAAGAGGATGTTTTCTGCTTTTAAGAAAAAGGAGGTCCTGGCCGGGTGCGGTGGCTCACGCCTATAATCCCAGCACTTTAGGAGGCCAAGGCGGACAGATCACAAGGTTAGGAGATCGAGACCATCCTGGCTAACACGGTGAAACCCCGTGTCTACTAAAAATACAAAAAATTAGCTGGGTGTGGTGGCAGGCACCTGTAGTCCCAGCTACTCGGGAGGCTGAGGCAGGAGAATGGCGTGAACCTGGGAGGTGGAGCTTGCAGTGAGCCGAGATCGTGCCACTGCACTCCAGCCTGGGCGACAGAGCGAGAAAACAGGCAGGAATCTTAGGAACCAATGAAGCGTGTTTTTCCAGTAGTTGGCATTTGAAATGAATATGCAAGAAGCATGCCTTTGTCACGTGCATGTTCCTGGGACGTTTCATCTCCCACATCATGGAAAGCAAGGATTCCTGGGCACACACATCCCGCTACTCACCAGCAGCCTCATTGTAGTACACGTTGATTCTCTCCAGCTGCAAGTCACTGTCTCCATGGTAACTGCCTGTGGGGTCGATCCCATGCTCATCGCTGATGACCTCCCAAAACTGAAATGAAAAAAGAACCACACCATGGCTCTGCATCCTGCATGTCACTAAGGATGGCCTTGTCCTCCTCCCATGTCCTTGGAACAGGGGCTTTTGTGGTCAGACAGTTAGTAAGTGCTAGACAGAGAGCAAAGAGCTGCACCCCCTATTTCCTGCAGCAGCCGCTGTGAGGGGCTTGAAAATCCGCAGAGCATCGGCCATATTATGGGGATAGACTGAAAGCTGGGAGGGGCCCTGGAGGAGGAGGGGACACAGCAGATGCCCTTCTAGGGAAGGGTGGAGAGTAGAGAAGTGGGAAGGGGTACAGGGAGGCTGTGTCACCCCAGGCAGGGCTGAATGCCATTGCATCCGGGATGATTGATGGGTCGTGGCAGGACCAAGGACAGGGGGACCCACTCTGTGGCTGCCTCCAGGGATCAAGCTCTCTTGGCACAGATCCCAGGCACTCCTGCAACAGTGCAGGTTTAAGCCACCGATCTACATGCTGGCACTGACCACCGGAGGGACTGGGCGAAGGGCAGCAGGAGCCTGGGAGGGCACCTGGGCGGCAGTGGAAGGAGCTGGCCATCGTGAGGGCGCTGGCTGCATTGTGAATTTGCAGTAGGGAGGGGGTGAGGGAGTTGGGTGGGCAACATGGCGGTTCTCAAAGAGACCACGTCCTTGTACAGGTGCCCACCCCGACCCATGCACCAGACCCGCTGCTGCCTCCCCTGCTGGGGTTTGTAATATAATTATAGCCTCCACCCAGTGCTGTCACCTGCTGCCTTGGGGGTGGGCAGCAAGAGCATCATGGTATATGTCATCATGTCTAGACAGTGCCTGAGCAGGGCAATTTATCTGACACCCTCGCCTGTGGGCATCAGATGACCCTATGGACAGATAAACACAAATCCAAGCTGAGAGTAATGGCACCTGACTGGACTTGCAACTCTTCAGGAGGGTGAAATGGGAGAGTTGCTTGAGCCCAGGAGTTCAAATCTAGCCTGGGCAACACGGTGAGACCCTGTCTCTTAAAAAAATGGAAATCCAGACTTAGATAAAAAGAAACTAGGGTGGGCGCGGTGGGTCACGCCTGTAATCCCAGCATTTTGGGAGGCCAAGGCAGGAGGATCACCTGAGGTCGGGAGTTTGAGACCAGCCTGACCAACATGGAGAAACCCCGTCTCTACTAAAAATACAAAATTAGCTGAGTGTGGTGGCGCATGCTTGTAATCCCAGCTACTCAGGAGGCTGAGGCAGAGAATCACTTGAACCCGGGAGGCGGAGATTGTGGTGAGCCGAGATCACACCATTGCACTGCAGCCTGGGCAACAAGAGCAAAACTCTGTCTCAAAAAAAAAAAAAGAAAAGAAAAGAAAAGAAAAGGAAAAAAGAAACTAATCAAAAAGCCTATTGAAATAAAGAGAATGCTCTGGTTTTATTAACCTGTGTCAATCCAAAATCAACTAGATAAAGCTTTTCTTTAGTAGGGTGGGGTATACAGGACTTGCAGAAGCTTTGTTATGGAGGAGGGCAAGTGGATGGGTAGACAGGTGGCAAAATCAGGTCTTTTCAACAGGAAATATTTTCCTCTACACTAAGCTGATTGTGCAACTGAGCCTTTCAGGAAGACAGTGCACCTCTGAGTGCTTGCGTGAAAGGCAACATTTAGGGATTTATGGGTAAAAGCCCAATTGAAGTTTGGTCAAGCCAAAGTCGTTGGTAAAAAATTGGCAACTGTGAGCCTGTGGTTATTCTCTCATTGTTTCTGACACACAAAATCTGTCCTTCAATGCTATTAGGGATGGAATAGCCTTCACTGTATTCAATGGTATTAGGGATGGAATAACCTTCACTGTATTCAATGCTGTTAGGGATGGAATAGCCTTCACTGTATTCAATGCTACTAGGGATGGAATAACCTTCACTGTATTCAATGCTATTAGGGATGGAATAACCTTCACTGTATTCAATGCTATTAGGGATGGAATAACCTTCACTGTATTCAATGCTATTAGGGATGGAATAGCTGTCACTGTATTCAATGCTGCTAGGGATGGAATAGCCTTCACTGTATTCAATGCTACTAGGGATGGAATAGCCTTCACTGTATTCAATGCTACTAGGGATGGAATAACCTTCACTGTATTCAATGCTATTAGGGATGGAAAAACCTTCACTGTATTCAATGCTATTAGGGATGGAATAGCTGTCACTGTATTCAATGCTGCTAGGGATGGAATAGCCTTCACTGTATTCAATGCTACTAGGGATGGAATAACCTTCACTGTATTCAGTGCTATTAGGGATGGAATAGCCGTCACTGTATTCAATGCTATTAGGGATGGAATAGCTGTCACTGTATTCAATGCTATTAGGGATGGAATAGCTGTCACTGTATTCAATGCTGCTAGGGATGGAATAGCCTTCACTGTATTCAATGCTACTAGGGATGGAATAACCTTCACTGTATTCAGTGCTATTAGGGATGGAATAGCCGTCACTGTATTCAATGCTATTAGGGATGGAATAGCTGTCACTGTATTCAATGCTGCTAGGGATGGAATAGCCTTCACTGTATTCAATGCTACTAGGGATGGAATAACCTTCACTGTATTCAGTGCTATTAGGGATGGAATAGCCGTCACTGTATTCAATGCTATTAGGGATGGAATAAGCTTCACTGTATTCAATGCTATTAGGGATGGAATAACCTTCACTGTAAGGTTGAGGCGGGTTCAATTAGGTCTCAGGGGTGCGCTGGCCTTCATGTTCTCAATGGCCCGGAAGATCTAGCTGTGTCATCTGCTGACTGTGTTCTAGAATGACAGGTGTTAGAGTCTTAGAGATCAGCATTCAAGAGAGGTATACCTAGCATATGTTTAAAATAATAATTATTAACCCTTTTCCCATTTAGAAAAAAAAAAGGACAGCTGGCTGCTAGTGCTCATTTAATTTTACATGAACACATTCTTTGAGGCCAAAGCAAATCTGACTGATTTTCAATGTGGAAGTAAAATATAAAAACTGTTTTTGAAGTTTTATTTCTAAACAGACCTAATATCAGAATCATCTGAATCATCTGAGCTATTTATTTTAGAAAAATTGGATTCATCACATGAGTCTTTGGCCAACAACTGTTTAATGATGTTAACATCACGCATAGGAATGCTCCGTTTTCTAGGCTCTGACATTTTCAGTGATCAAGAATTACTATATTTTGTAAATGGAACTACCACCACTAAAACCAGAATGCTATATATAGAATGATGTCTTTTGTTTCCAATGTCAATATGCTAGAGAAATGCAAAAGTAATAATAAAAGCAAGGTCTTTCCTGGCAGAGGTATCTTTGGGTAAACGCTGCAGCTGGAAGTGCTGCCGGCAAGTGTTCTCAGGGCAAATGGTAAAAGGGTTAAAGGTTAAATTAGACAGCAACCAAGATTTGAGGTTTGAAGGAAGCTAGCCTAAAAGGCCTTGAGACGTTGGGCCTGGAGTGTCCTTAAACGGAAGTATAAGGACAATGGTGGCAATTCAATGCATTTCCTGGTTTGCAGTCTGAATATTTTTGGTGACGGCATAGACATCAGAGAGGTCTGTGGAAACATATGCACATCAATCACTTCTGACTGCACAATCCCAAGTGCCCTGTGGGAAGCTAGGATCATGTCCTATGCCAGCCAATTGTTGTGGGCCACTCACTGGATTTCTTTAATTCTCTGGTGATGATGTTAGTGTCTTTGGTAAGACTGTCCACAGTTCTGGTTGTTTCCTGAAACAGAGCATGGAGAATGTGGGAGCCTGGGTGAACTAACTGAGTGGCCCACTACAGCAGCTCCAGACACAAAGCTTGTCCATCCACAACCTACAGCAGCATGAAGCCTTTCCAGTGTCCTTCGAACCTCTTAGCCTCTTGTTCTACGGCTTCTTGGGATCCTGATGAGGAAGGAAGGTCACAGTCTCTTTCTGGGGCTGAGATTCAGTGCCTTGGCTTGTAGATGTAAAGTTTTTGTAGATCTTTTGGATTGTCTAGTGCCTGAAAAATTTAAATCCATGATAATCTATTAGTAGTTAAGACAAGAAGAGAAGGCGGGCTAATTAAAGATTTGAAAAGCACTAAGAGGATTAGCTAAATAACAGGATCTATTCCAACCAGCAGGCATGCTTTTTCCTTTCCTGTCCAGCCCCCTTCCCATAGGAGACAATTTGTAGATCAAAGAGGTCATGTTCACTCAAAGCTTGCACTCCTGTTCTAGACCACGTTCCAAATATTATGGTGCTTGAATATCGTTCTCAGATTGCCCTGAATCCACTTCCAATGCCTGATGAACCCTTCTCCCTGGGTCAGTCCTCCTGAGGGTAGGCCATGCCTGTCGTGTGCACCCCTAGAATCAAGAGGCACTCCAGGGGTAGCTGCCTGTGAAAATGATGGAATTTGGATGCCTAGTCTAGGACATCCACAAACATGCACCCAAACCACAGTAAAAACTGTGAACAACAAAGCTTATGTGAGCTTCCATAACACTCCATGTGTGTTGTCATATGTTGATATTGGGAAAGTAATATGCCCTGACTCCACAAAAAAAACTACATTTGACTCCCCTGGACTTCACTGTAGGCACTTTTCCCTTGGTTGGTTTTGATTTGTATCTTTTCCATGTAAAAAAAAATCATTACTGTAAGTATAATAGATTTCAGTTAAGTTCTGTGACTCCTTGTAGTAAATTATCAAACCTAAAGCTGATCTTGGAGACCCTTCTATTTGCAATTGATTTCAGAAGCAACAGTGGTCTTAATGACTGGTCCCTCTGACATTACAGGTCGCCAAAACACTTCACAGTTGGTGTCATACGTGGGATTCACTAGCCCCACCCTGACTCACTGAAACATGTGATTTGAGAGGAAGAAGGAGGAAAGGGCTGGGGGTGATTATGGAGGTGATGAACCTTTGATTACTGGATGGCCACAGGGTTGCCGGCGGTTTGGAAATAATGCTGTGCTGCAATTAGTTGCTGGAGGCAGAAGTTACCAAAGGAATTTAGAAATAACGGCTCCAATTCTGAGGAGCTGGTAGTGGATATATAAGGAAATGAAAAGTAACAAGGAACAAGCTAGTACCAATCTCTTGGTTATTGTTATCTGTAATAACTAAAATAAAAGTAAGAGTATTGGGATGGATCCTAAGGCTGTCCTAAGCTTGGATTCAGGTGGGTCCAAGCTACAGCCACTAACGTCAGTGCTGCTACCAGAGGGAACAGTTAAGCAGATGCAACCAATAGCTAAGATGTGCAGGGGTATGGGGGAAGGACAGAGGAGAAAGTCAAGGGACTCATCCCAGCAGGGCAGAAATCTTCCAGTGGTTATTAATGGGATGAATACAGCAGACCTTGATGGAGTGAAGACAAAAGCCTAATGCAGCACTCTCAGAAACTGTAGGGACTGATGGGAGCCCCTGCTTGTCCCCCAGCAGTGAAGGTTCTTTTTTTTTTTTTTTTTTTTTTTTTGAGACAGAGTCTTGCTCTGTCGCCCAGGCTGGAGTGCAGTGGCATGATCTTGGCTCACTGCAACCTCTGCCTCCTGGATTCAAGCGATTTTCCTGCCTCAGTCTTCCAAGTAGCTAGAATTACAGGCATCCACCACCGTGCTCGGCTAAGTTTTGTATTTTTAGTAGAGATGGGGTTTCACCACGTTGACCAGGCTGGTCTTGAACTCTTGACCTCAGGTGATCTGCCTGTCTCAGCCTCCCAAAGTGCAGGGATTATAGGCGTGAGCCACAGTGCCCGGCTGCGAAGGGCTTTAAATAAATCTGCTTTATTCACTTTAAACAAACTCTGCTTCATAGTTTGGAGGAATTTTAAAAGCCAGCAAGCAAGGATGACAATGAGAAATCTGATTTTGAATCACTGAGGCAATGGTCTCACAATCTAATCAGGATGAAGATTGACAAAAGGGCCTGAGTCCCTTGGCCCCATCTTCAGCTGGGGAACTGAGGGTGTATGCATGCACGTGGGTAAATGGTCAGCAGGTGAAGAGGAGACATTTCTAGGACTCCTTGACACACGAGGCCCATGCACTGTGATTCCAAAAGCTGTTGAAGTTCTAAGGGGCTATAGTTAGATTGAGAGGATATGGGAATGAAATATTGAAGAAATTAAGTGAAAGTTTGGATGAAATTTGGAATGTCTGAATGGACTTTATGTGAAGTGGTGGTATCTCCTTTACCTGAGTTTATTAAGGGGATGGATATTGAGTCTGACTGGGGACTGCTTCCCTCACCTAGTATTATAAAACATTAAGCATGTAAATCTACCCTTCAGCCAATATTGGCTGAACATGCCAAAAATAGGAATCAAGAAAATTACCTGAGCCCATGCAGGTTGTTAATTTTACTAGAGTAATGATGGAGACAGATTATCTGTGCAATGTGCCTGTGTGGAGGGCAGGCTGGAACTTATGGCAGTAGCCTCTGAGAGCCACCCAGTGAGGACTACTGGGATTTTGGACTAGGAAAATTCCATTCAAAAGGCAATTACTTACTTGCCTTCTACTGGACATTGATTGAAACTGCCCTATGACCGAAGGACATAAACTGATCTTAAAACCTGAAATATTCAGAATGTCTTGGGCAATGCCAGAGAAACACTCTAATGGAGAAAAGAGTGCTCAGAAAAGCTCCACAGTAAAATGGAATTGGTTTATGCAGGATCATGGTACCAGGGGAATGCAAGGAGGAGATACTTGTGAGCAAGGAGCCTCTTCTCCCCTAGCATTCACTTTGGAACCACCCGAGGAGCTGCTGGGCCCTATAACCAGTTGAGTGTTACCCTATGAACAACTTTTATTGATCAACAAAGAGCTACTTGGTTTATGGATGGCGGTTCCAATGTGAGCAGACAGCATCCTATTTGGAAGGCGCCATTCTGATTGAACAAGGTACAAACAAATCAGCTCAGTGGGCTGAGATGCATGCCGTTTGCCCCTCTGTTTGAGTTTTTGCCGACTCATGGGCAGTAGCCAATGGCCTGGCCATAGACTAAGCCAGGTGGCAATGGAAAGCTGGCCTCTTAAAGGGATGCCCATATGGGGCACAGCCTTGTGGAAATTACTAGGAGAATGTGAGGGCTACATTGAAGTAGGACATGTCAGCACCCATCAGAACGCCCTTCCAGGATGAGAAAGTGGTTGGAATTGGCAAGTGGGTATCCTGTGCACTTGCTTGGGTGGCCACCTGGGTTCATGGAAGGAGTGGATGGGGGCAGTGGGGATGCTGCAGTATAGACATGGCTGAATCCACATGTGTTCCTCTTGTGGTCTCTGAGGCACACAATACCAGCTGCTCAGTCAGCCAGCAAGAGAAGCAGAGACTGCGGATGGTGGTGGGGCAGATTCTCCAGGGCAAGGCCCTGCACGGAGCTGCCAAGTTGGTCTGATGCTGATGGTCCCTGGGGTCTACAAATGGATCCTGACAGGAACAGGCACCTGCTCTGGACTGGCTGTTGACCAGTGGTAGATGCAGATGTTCAAAATACTGCAAAAGGACTAGAATTGAAAATATTGCCCCAATTTAGACCACTGAATCACACTGAAACTGCGTTTGCAAAATTATGACAGTAAGAGAAATCTGACATAGCTGACTCTGTCTAGCTTCTAACCTCTAAGCTGTCATTGTTCATTCCTGGGCATAGGCTAAGCTAACCTAGAGAGGAATTTAGTTCATAGGTTAACCTTAAAGCAAGCAGATAATAGCCCTTTCCAAAACTACACCTTTCCTTGTTCAAGCATGAAATTGCTTTTTTAACACTAATGAAAGGCCGCAGATTAAGATTAGGAAGGGGTCTGAACTCTGCTAACATGTAGGCATAATGAAACAATAACCAGCCATTGTTCTAGAGGGCATAAGAGTCATAACCTTCCCAATTGCTCCTATAGATAACATCACTATTGTCAAACCCAAGACGGGTGTTCAAAACTCTGCATCCTGATGAACCAGCTGGCACCACCGAGAATGGGAAACTGGCTCAACTAGTTTTGTGATCCCACCCAGGAACTCAAGAGCAGCAGGAAGACAGCTTCAACCCCCTGTGATTTTATCCTCAACCCAACCAATCAGCATTCTCCGTTCCCTAGCCCCCTCCCTGCCAAATTATCCTTTAAAAACCCTAGTATCTGAATTTCTGAGGAGAGTGATTTGAATAGTCAACTCTTTCCTTTTGGCCAGCCCTGTAATAGTTAAACTCTTTTATTTATTGATTGATTTATTTTTTTGAGATGGAGTCTTGCTCTTGTTGAGCTGGCTGGAGTGCAGTGGCACAATCTTGGCTCACTGCAACCTCTGCTTCCCAGGTTCAAGTGAGTCTCCTGCCTCAGCCTCCTGAGTAACTAGGATTACAGTCACCCGCCACCACGCCTGGCTAATTTTTTTGTATTTTTAGTAGAGACGGGGTTTCACCATGTTGGCCAGGCTGGTCTTGAACTCCTGACCTCAGGTGATCCATCTGCCTCGGCCTCCCTAAGTGCTGGGATTACAGGCATGAGCCACTGTGCCCAGCCGTTAAACTTTTTCTATTGCAAAAAAGCTGCTGTTCTCAGTGCATTGGCTTTTCTGGCCAGAAGGCAGGATGAACCGATCAGGCAATTACATTTCTTTGGAACACACTTTAACCCTCAGAATAAAAGTTTGATAGAGAAGTGGAACAGGCAATTGAAACATGCGTTGTCTAAAACAGGGTGATAAAGGCGGGAAGGGCTGGCTCACACGCCTTCATGCACACACTCCACAAGAGGAGCCCAAGAGAGTGCACACTGGACACAGTCCTCGACTTTTCTATGGGATCTGGGGAGGCAGGGATGGGGGGATGCTAATGTGACCACACAGTTCTTCCCTATGTCACTTCACCTTCCGTTTTTCCTACCTGATGCAGCGGCTCCAGGATCATGGCAGCAATGGTAGGTGCCAGAAGGAGGGATGATCCCTAAGCAAGAAGCTAGAACCAGGCCTTTAAAGCTTTGTGTCAGAATTCCTGGGGGCCTGATGGTGTGGGCTGTGCCTTCACCGTCTGGCAAAATTGGCGTTAGTGTTGAATGCAGCTGTGTTACCTGGTTGTTGGGAGAGCTCACTAGTTCTGTGCCTGTGTGCCCCTATCCTATATAAGTGGGAAAGGACTCGGGGAGGAGTCCTTGCTTCGCCATGCTTGCTTCTGGCAGTCTATACCGGCGCAGTGGCCAAACCTAATGTCCTTTCCAAAGATGGAAACGCTGGAAAAAATGAAATGATAAATAGAGAGAAGGGGAAAGGCAGCTAAGAGCAAAGGGATGGATAAATGGTTTATGCCATGAGGGAGATCTGACATTTACTTTGGCGCTTCAAGAAAGACTCCGAGCGAGAGATGATATTGTCTCTTTTTTTGTTTGTTTTGTTTTTTTTAGACAGAGTTTCACTCTTGTTGCCCAGGCTGCAGTGCAGTGGTGTGATCTTGGGTCACTGTAACCTCTGCCTCCTGGATTCAAGCGATTCTCCTGCCTCGGCCTCCCAAGTAGCTGGGATTACAGGCATGCACCACCATGCCTGGCTAATTTTTGTATTATTAGTAGAGACGGGGTTTCATCATGTTGGCCAGACTGGTCTCGAACTCCTGACCTCCAGTGATCCGCCCACTGGCCTCCCAAAGCGCTGGAATTATAGGTGTGAGTCACCGCTCCTGGCTGTTACTGTCTCTTACCACAGTAATATACCTGATGCCTGAAAAGGTAGAGCTATGGATTGCTGAGACTGCATGTGCTTTCGCAACCTGACCATGTCGAATGAAAGTCTGCAAACCTGAGTGTTAGCACTCAGGAGACATTTTGGTCATATGATATAATGACTGATGGTCATTCGATTGATGATTGATGGACATTTTGGTCATACGATATGATGAAACTGGAGTAATTGATAATGACTAAGTAGGACTCTGGTAATGTGATGATATCTTTTGGCATTTATTTTTCAGGTTACCATACTGTGATGTGATTTAATACTGGCCTCATTACCAATAAGAGTCAACTACCTTATATAAACAAGTCTTAGAATAATGCTGATATTGATGATCAAATATATTGAGAGATTGAGTTAAAACTTCTCTTCAGGTTGTAATAAAATGACTGGCCTGAGGAAGAACTGGGTTTAGCTGACTATTACCTAATTTCTATGCTAAATAGCTCAGTATAAATTTATCAGAAGGTACAAATAACAGCAGATCAAGGGAGGAAAAGAGTAATCAAATTATTAACAGTATAAAAATATGAAAATGTATGTAATGGCTTTATAGGACAGATGAGTTGCCCACTATTGCTCTATCTGTCTAATAAACACTACACTAACTATAGATGCCTAAACAAAGACGATTGTTTTGCTGTATAAGAAAGCCTTGGCCAAATGCCAGAGGGTAGTTTATGTAGTGAAAAATTGATTTTGCCCAAAGAGAGGTCCAGCCTTTGCCATTGGCTCCTAGGAGGCGATCTCTAGGCCCCTGGAATGTCCTGACTAACTGGAGTGTCTTTGCTTTGGGGGGGGTTAGCCACCAGACAGCCTAACAATGTGATTCATGACATATGCTTTGTGCCACATGCTATCAGTTCCAATCTCCCAGGGACTGGAGATGAAAGGTATCAGCCCTGCCTCCAGGAGGGGCTGGGCAGTAAAGGCCAGCCATGGGGGCGGTGTGTGGTCAAGCCCGGATAAAAACTCTGGACCCCAAAGGCTCAGGTGGGCTTTCCTGGTTGGTGATGCTCTGGGCATGCTGTCACACATCAATGCTGGTGAGGGCGGAGTTAACAGTGTGTAGGACCCCACCGGGAAAGGACAACCTGAACCTTTGCATTTGGGCCCCTCTTAGTCTCCACCTCATGTGTCTCCTCCCTTGGCTGATTTTAAGCTGTATTCTATTCCCTGTAATAAACCATAACTGTGAGTACAACAGCGTTCAGTGAGTTCTGTGAGTCCTTCTAGCAAATTGTTGAAGCTGAGGGTGGTTTTGGGAACCCTCCAAACTTGTACTTGATGTCAGAAATGAGGGCAGTCTTCTATGTGGACCCCGTGTGCCCTCTAAAGCTTCATAAATTGCCCTAACTTGCTTAGAAAATGAAGGGAATACTTACATATTGAGTGCTGAAAACCCCAGCCTTCCACTCAGCTCTTACAATGCTGGCAGCCAGGAATAAGGAGCAGGACATTGGCGTATTCTATGCTGGGAAGTATGATCAGCTCAAGAAAGACCTAATGATAATGACTGTATCAGTTAGCATTCGCTGTGTAACAAACCACCCCAAAATCTGGTGGATTAAGATGAAGCCTTTGTTAATCACAGCTTGGCAGTTTGGCTGAGCAGTTTCTCTGCTCTGGGCCAGTTCATTCGGGCCTTCGTGTTCTAGGAGAGCTTTCCTATCTTGTCCAGTGGTTGGCTTGATGTCAGCTGGAACAACAGCCATGTGTCTTCCATCGTCCATCAGGATAATCTAGGCTTTTGTGGTGGCAGAAAGGTCCCCAGCTGCTAACGTTCCATCTGCCAAAGCAAATCATGTGGTCAAACCTAGGTTGAAGAGATAGAGAAACAGGCTCCAGCTCTTGACTGACAGAGTGGCAGAGTCACCTTTCAAAGGTGTAGGCATCAGTCAGAATTCTCCAGAAACAGAATGAACAGAGCCTGACATCATAGGGCAGACCAGTCTGGCCAACAGGGTGAAACCCTATCTCTACTAAAAATACAAAAATAAGTCGGGTGTGGTGGCATGCGCCTGTAGTCCCTGCTACTCAGGAGGCTGAGGCAGGAGAATTGCTTGAAACTGGGAGGGGTGGTGGTTACAGTAAGCCAAGACCGTGCCATTGCACTCCAGCCTGGGCAACAGAGAGATTCCATCTCAAAAAAAAAAATAAAATAAAATAAAATAAAATAAATATATATATATATGGTGTATATATATATATATGGTATGTATATATATATGGTATATATATATGGTATGTATATATATATGGTATATATATATGGTATGTATATATATATGGTATATATATATGGTATGTATATATATATGGTATATATATGGTATGTATATATATATGGTATGTATATATATATGGTATGTATATATATATGGTATATATATAAATTTTGGGTATATACATATTTTGGGTATATATATATTTTGGGTATATGTATTTTTTGGGTATATATATATTTTGGGTATATATATATTTTGGGTATATATATATATTTTTTTTGGGGGGGGTATATATATATATCCTAACAAGCAAACAGGGGTAAAAACAGAAGCATAGAGGAAATTATGTAGAGGGAAGAAAACATCTTTGAAAACCTCATGAATTTCCTCAGAGAAGAGATGATAGAGAATCCATGAAATAAGAATAGGAAGATGTAAAAAATACAATTTGGAGAATAAAGAAAAGTTCTTGAGAACTATATAAAAACACAAACGAACACATGGAGACCTTGGAAAATAGGTCAAGTGAGTCTCCTAGAAAGTGCAGTAAGAAGAGAAGGAGATGGCAAACAGGAAAGAACTGATAAGAAAATGAGGACTGGCCGGGCGCGGTGGCTCACGCCTATAATGCCAGCACTTTGGGAGGTCAAGGAGGGTAGATCACCTGAGGTCAGGAGTTCGAGACCAGCCTGACCAGTATGGTGAATCCCCGTCTCTACTAAAAATACAAAAACTTAGCCGGGCATGGTGGTGCACGCCTGTAATCCCAGCCACTCGGGAGGCTGAGGCACGAGAATCACTTGAACCTCGGAGGCAGAGGTTGCAGTGAGCTGAGATCATGGCACTGCAGTCTAGCCTGGGCGACAGAGCAAGACTCTGTTTCAAAAAAAAAAAAAAAAGAAAATGAGGACTGGGCTGGAGGTCCAACATCGGATAGATAGGAATTCTGCAGAGAATAATTTTTCTCTTTTTTTTTTTTTTTTTTTTTTAGACAGAGTTTTGGCTCTTGTCGCCCAGGCTGGAGTGCAATGGCGCGATCTTGGCTTACTACAACCTCTGCCTCCAGGGTTCAAGCAATTCTCCTGAGCCTCAGCCTCCCGAGTAGCTGGGATGACAGGCGCCCGCCACCATGCCTGGCTAATTTTTTTTGTATTTTTAGTAGAGACAGGGTTTCATCATGCTGGCCAGGCTGGTCTCAAACTCCTGACCTCAGGTGATCTGCCTACCTTGGCATCCCAAAGTGCTGGGATGACAGGCGTGAGCCACCACAACCGGCCGAGAATAATTTTTAAAATGAGAAACATGATCATGTATCAAGAAAAATGACCAAAGAACATGGGTTTCCAGATACAGTTCTATGTGATGAAGTCCATCACCTTCTTATAATCTGAACACATGATGTAGTTACTTTGAAATGAATTGTTTCAGGTTGGTTCCTGGGGAAACAGACTCAGAAGGAGATTTGCATGTGAAGCATGTCAGAGAATGACGAATGGAGGACTGGGGATGCCAGGAGTCAGGTGGTGCATTCCTAGGGACTGTCCCGGTCTGTCCCAAGTGTCTCTGGAGCTCAGACGACCCTCAGAGGTGCCCCAAACTGAGGCAAGGGAACTAAACCTTTGTACTATCCCCCAGGGCCCAGCACTTGCCCTAAGCCGTCCCTGAGGAGGGGCTGTGACTGTGGGTGGGCTGCTCACTTTAGCTGAAGACGACTCTAAGAGAGGGGCTCTCTGAGGGCCAGCAGCGGCCCCAACTCCCAGCAGCTGGGAGAATATGAAGGGGGAGTCTGTGGTCCATGTAACATCTGCTTTGTTAAACTGGAAGCTTCTAGTTTTGACTTCTTTGAAATCTTTAATGCTCACTTGGTCAACAACCTCTAGTTATACTGCTGAACCTCACCGCGGTCGGCCTGCAGACAGCGTGTGCTTGGGGCTCCCGTGCCGTGCAGCAAAAGCCGGATCCGGGAGCTCAGTGCTGAGGCCGGCAGTGGCCACAGTCACCCAGCACTGTCTGCGGGGGGCGTGTGAAGTCTCTCCAGTTCGGGGGTAGGAGGGCGACACTGAAAGGCCTATTGTTGCTGCCCAACTCGGTAACATGGATTTCATCGGCGATTATGCAGGCATTTCGCTATTGCTAGATGTGACTCCCACACCCTCTCTCTTTTGGGTCTCATCTCCAAAAGGGGTGCTTGTTATGAGGCCCCTCAACACTTACTGTGTGGCTGTGCTTATTCAAAGAACATCCAGACTATTACATTTAACTTTTTTTTTTTTTTTTGAGATGGAGTCTCATTCTGTGGCCCAGGCTGGAGTGCAGTGGCGCAATCTCAGCTCACTGCAAGTTCCGCCTTCCGGGTTCACGCCATTCTCCTGCCTCAGCCTCATGAGTAGCTGGGACTACAGGCACCCGCCACCAGCCTGGCTAATTTTTTATTTTTTTTTTTTGTATTTTTAGAGACGGTGTTTCACTGTGTTAGCTAGGATGGTCTCGATCTCCTGACCTCGTGATCCACCCACCTCGGCCTCCCAAAGTGCTGGGATTACGGGCGTGAGCCACGGCGCCCGGCCTACATTTAAAAATTTTTAAGCTTACCAAAGTGACGAATTAGAAGTATTTGTATCTTAAATGACTTTTCAATTTACAAAAGATGGATCATCTAGCACCATATAAGGAACTTCCTTATTACGCTTTAAATGTAATTCAATAAACTTCTCGTTCATTGCCAAAGCTGTTTCTATATCATATCTATATCCTATTTATTCAGTGGTGCCTGTTAAGTGCAGCAAGCTTGTGAGATGGGTAGAAGAGAAGGGGAAAACATCTACATTGAACGTCTTCTGGGTTCTACAACCAGCTATGGTGCTACACACACACACACACACACACACACACACACACAAAGAGGTAGATATTATCTCCTGCTTACATGTGAGGAAGCTGGTTCAGAGGGGTTAATAAAATGGCCTGGCATCACACAATGCCAGCAAAAAATCAGCAATCGCATCCCCTGCTGCCTGACAGCACAGTTTCTGAAGTTTCACATCCAAGCTGTTTCCTAGGTAACCACCACACAGCCTCCAGGACCGTCTGCATAAATAGGGAGGAAGGGGGAATCCAGCCAGCGCCTCTCATTTCCTGCATCAACAATAGTGCAGGCCTTTGTCAGGGCGTTAATGTGGCGAAAACAGCCCCAAAGCTTATCCGTGGGATTCTAGTTCAAATGAGATATTTCCACTCACTGAAGGGCCCGATTCATTGAGGATCTTGCCTGTCAGAGCACTGAGCCTGTTTCTATTTTTATTCACTCCCCTGCCTTTTCCTTTTCTCCCAGGCTTTTTGTTCTCGCAGCAAGGAGTGAGTACTCCTCCTTGTTCACATGAGCCTGTGCCCCTCGAGAAACGCCAGGATCTGAGCAACCCACCCACTCCCCTGATAGGCAAAGGGCTCTGCAGAGTCCTTGCCGGTCCCCGGCCCTGGGACTGGCCAGGACAAGGCCCAGGGCCGGCATGACTCTGGGTCACAAGGTCTATTCATCTTGGTGTGGCTTCTTTGCTTATTGTGCTCCGTCCTGTGATGGTCTCTGCAGGGGGCCACAGAGACGTAAAGAACTTGCTCTCCTTTCCCTGTTGCAAGAGACAGGTCTAGGTTGAAGGACTAAGTGAGCGAGGGAAATGAGGGTCACGGCAGCCCACTCCCTTACCGCCTTTAACAATTTGATCTCCATCCAACCGAAGCATTGCCTCTATACTTTACTGAGAAGCTCAAAGGCACTTTGCTTTTATGAGCTGCTCTCTTCCGAAATAAATATTAATGACATTCAAGCTCGTGGGTGTTGCTGAAAGCCATTTTTCTCGGCAATATTCTGTGCAAAGAACAGGTTGGAAATGTCAGTGGCCAGTCATATTATGTATGGTTGTATTAGTCTGTTCTGGGATTGCTGTAAATAACTACCTGAGACTGGGTAATTTATGAAGAAAGGAGGTTTAATTGACTCACAGTTCCGAAGGCTGTACGGGAAGCATGGCTGGGAAGGCCTCAGGAAACTTATAATCATGGCAGAAAGCAAAGGGGAAACAGGCATGTTTCACATGACAGGAAAAAGAGGAAGAGAGCCAAGGGGGAGGTGCTACACACTTTCAAACAACCAGATCTCGCGAGAACTCACTCGCCAACACAAGAACAGCAAGGGGGACATCTGCCCCCATGATCCAGTCACCATCTGCCCCCATGATCCAGTCACCTCCCACAGGGCCCCTCGTCCAACACTGAGGATTACAATTCAACAGGAGATTCGGGCAGGGACACAAATCCAAGCCATCTCAATGATTAACATCTTCACTTGCCCCTTTCAAATATCCATGGTCAGCTGCAGCGTGGCGTAGGTCGCCATCAAGAGGCAGCCGACTACACTAGCTGTGGTGCTGGCCCCCAGGGATGGGGAAGGGCAGACACAGATATTCATCGGGAAGACACTGGATCTAGCGGTTTGAGCTGGTGGGTGAAGGCAGCAGGCTCCGTCTCTGGACATGATGGTGCACCAAGTCACACTATTAGTTCTGGATGGGGCAGGGACAGGGCAGGGACAGGGCTCAGTGCCCAAGCAGCAGGGCAGGGCTGACATAATCCCAGGGTGCCACAGCTAGTGGCTGGATATGAGGTGGCCCTATTGAATACCAGTGATACATTTTTCGGGTGTGGTGCTGCCACTGTGGTTACATCAGAGAATGCCTTTGTCCCCAGGAGGTGCGTGCTGAAACATTTAGGGTGAAGCGTCGTGATGTCTGCAATCTACTTTCAAATAATTCAGCAAAAAAAAAAAAAAAGCTTACACACAAACGTGGCAAAATGGGCAAAATGTTAAAAACTACTGAAGGCAGAGGAAGGGTATGCAGAGACTGGCTGTGCTATTCTTTCAACTTGTAGGTTATAAGGCTTTTTAAAAATAAATTTTTGAAGTTTTTCCAAACGGGTTAATGATTGATTCTAGGCTTGAAACATGAAGCAGTTTTCCGGTTTTCTTCACAAATGGCCTAGAGTTCAAAACTAGAATAAGTGATACAGCTAGTTACTACTACTTTGCTGACTTCTCATCCTAAATGTAGTACAGTCCAGACAGGATGGAATATGGTAAACTGCTACCTTTAAATTCAACGAGTTAAACAGATATTTCATAAAACAGGCTGGCGAATTCTATTTTTATCTTATGTTTTCTTGTTCTCACATTTTCAATGCTTAATTGTTTTTCTCATTCGAAAGAATGTTTTATCTGACAACCCATCCTGTGGCCAGAAGTGGGAGCATGTGCCATCTAGAGATTATACCGCAAAAATGGACAGCAAGTCTTCTAGATCCTGCATGGTCCTGCTTTTGTAGCCTTGAGAAAGTAATGCAACCAACCAAAACACATATGTGGCTACTTGCTCATAATTAGCATGAAAAAAATAGGTATTCTGTATTTTGATGCTCGTGAAAATATATTATGAATACATAACTCAAATAAATAAAGGCATAAAAATTAGATGATGATGTCTATTTCTCATCCTAGACTGTAAGACCCATAAGGGCAGGAACAGTGTCTTTATTTATATTTGCACCCCTGGTGCCTAGCCCCATAAATATTTGTTGAATAAATGAAAGTATAAATAAATTAGAAAATAGAAATGTGGGCTGGGTGTGATAGCTTAGGCCTGTAATCCCAGCACTTTGGGAGGCTGAGGCAGGCAGATCACCTGAGGTCGGGAGTTTGAGACCAGCCTGACCAACAGGGAGAAACCCCGTCTCTACTAAAAATACAAAATTAGCTGGGCGTGGTGGCACACACCTATAATCCTGGCTACTCGGGAGGCTGAGGTAGGAGTATCGCTTGAACCCAGGAGGTGGAGGTTGCGGTGAGCCGAGATTATGCCCCTGCACCCCAGCCTGGGCAACAAGAGTGAAACTCCATCTCAAAAAAAAAAGAAAAGAAAATAGAAACGTGATGATGGTTGAATTCCACAGTAGCCAAGGACCAAGGATTACACAAATCCACTATATATATATATATTTTTTTTAGCATTAGGTATATCTCCTAATGCTATCCCTCCCCCCTCCCCCGACCCCACAACAGTCCCCAGAGTGTGATGTTCCCCTTCCTGTGTCCATGTGTTCTCATTGTTCAATTCCCACCTATGAGAGAACATGTGGTGTTTGGTTTTTTGTCCTTGCGATAGTTTACTGAGAACGATGATTTCCAATTTCATCCATGTCCCTACAAAGGACATGAACTCATCATTTTTTATGGCTGCATAGTATTCCATGGTGTATATGTGCCACATTTTCTTAATCCAGTCTATCGTTGTTGGACATTTGGGTTGGTTCCAAGTCTTTGCTATTGTGAATAGTGCCGCAATAAACATACATGTGCATGTGTCTTTATAGCAGCATGATTTATAGTCCTTTGGGTATATACCCATCAATGGGATGGCTGGGTCAAATGGTATTTCTAGTTCTAGATCTCTGAGGAGTCGCCACACTGACTTCCACAATGGTTGGACTAGTTTACAGTCCCACCAACAGTGTAAAAGTGTTCCTATTTCTCCACATCCTCTCCAGCACCTGTTGTTTCCTGACTTTTTAATGATTGCCATTCTAACTGGTGTGAGATGGTATCTCATAGTGGTTTTGATTTGCATTTCTCTGATGACCAGTGATGGTGAGCATGTTTTCATGTGTTTTTTGGCTGCATAAATGTCTTCTTTTGAGAAGTGTCCGTTCATGTCCTTCGCCCACTTTTTGATGGGGTTGTTTGTTTCTTTCTTGTAAATTTGTTTGAGTTCATTGTAGATTCTGGATATTAGTGCTTTGTCAGATGAGTAGGTTGCGAAAATTTTCTCCCATTTTGTAGGTTGCCTGTTCACTCTGATGGTAGTTCCTTTTGCTGTGCAGAAGCTCTTTAGTTTAATTAGATCCCATTTGTCAATTTCGGCTTTTGTTGCCATTGCTTTTGGTGTTTTAGACATGAAGTCCTTGCCCATGCGTATGTCCTGAATGGTAATACCTAGGTTTTCTTCTAGGGTTTTTATGGTTTTAGGTCTAACGTTTAATTCTTTAATCCATCTTGAATTAATTTTTGTAGAAGGTGTAAGGAAGGGATCCAGTTTCAGCTTTCTACATATGGCTAGCCAGTTTTCCCAGCACCATTTATTAAATAGGGAATCCTTTCCCCATTGCTTATTTTTCTCAGGTTTGTCAAAGATCAGATAGTTGTAGATATGCGGCATTATTTCTGAGGGCTCTGTTCTGTTCCAACACCAAAAAAAGAGCCCGCATCGCCAAGTCAGTCCTAAGCCAAAAGAACAAAGCTGGAGGTATCATGCTACCTGACTTCAAACTATACTACAAGGCTACAGTAACCAAAACAGCATGGTACTGGTACCAAAATATTGTTATTTTTATAAATTATAATGTTTGTAGACTAAATATAGCAGACTGATGTTCAATGCTCGGGGGGAGATCCTTAGTTAATGATACAGCATTGTAAGTATGTAAAATATCTATGTAGTTGAGTGAGGACTAGGTGTTGATATAAAAAATGAAACTAACAGTTGTGTTAGAGTGGTGGGGTTTGATGTAGCTTTCTTTACCCTGTGTCCATTTTGGTTTTTAATGAAAGGAATTTATAAGTGGGTATTACCTCTGCTGGCCAGCAAACTGAGGCTGTCTTAATAAATAAAAGAAATAGCACAACATTAAGAATTATTGCTTCTGTTCACATGGTGTCTAGATTCAAAGAAGTATGTGTTGATTTTATCTCACCTTGGGAAGTAGAAGAGAAATGCTGGAAGTGACACTAGGATGCCACTGCACCTAGTGCCTTGGCTTTGTTTCCAGGAACCAGCCAACCACGTGAGCAGGAGGCTTGGGCAGGCCGATGCGCATATGAAAACGGAGTGTAACTTCCCTGATAGACTGTGTTACCATACAGGAAGGGAAGAAGGTCAACTGGAATTAAGGAATATGTCTCCTGGGTGGCCTATTCAGTGCTTGCCAATCTGTAAACTACTCACTTTGCAGGTGGAAGTGGCAGCACCGTGTCTGCACACATAGGTGGGTCTGCAGATTCAATAGTACTATATCCTAAACTACAAAAATTAATCACACTGGGTTCAAAATCACTATGGTGGATTTAAAAATAAATGCCCTCGATAATATAAATGATGCTCATCCTCACTGATAATTAAGAAATATAAATTAAAGGATAAGATATCATTTTTCATCAAGTTGGCAAAATTTTTTAATTTGATGACATCTATTGTTGGACAATATGAATGTTTAGTACATAAATACAGGTGTATAAAAAATTTTAAAGCTTTCCTAAAATTGACCTTAATTTCTAACTCAAGAGGCTTCTTCTGTTTGGCAGCAACAACTTCAACTTAGTCAATGTTGGTTAATCTTTATCAATCCAGGAGACCCTTAGTCAACTTCTCTGTCTATCTGAGGTTGACGTGAAGTTAGGGAAGGTGTGTGTGATGCCAGAGTAATGGCAGGGGAGGGAGGTTGCATTCCTTCTTCACTGCCATCAATCCGTGCTGGCCCCTGATGAGATGCCCACATTCCCCTAGAGTCTTCCATAATAAATTCCATGCTGACATACCCTGCTTTCTCCCATTGTCTAGATAATGAGGTATCTTTGGTTCTCCTGGCCTTCTCTCAGCTACCTCTGTGCTCTTCCAAGTGAAAATAGGGAAAACTCTTCAAATCTCTCCCACAATGTCCTGGAACCCAGTGAGGCTCCATGAGGCTGCCCTGGTACCTTTGAGCCTAAACATGTGTCTTGCTATTTCTACTCTACCGCTGGCACATCAAATTGGTGGGTGTCAATGTGGTTGGGTTTACCATTTCCCAGGATCCAAGATAGAAACCAGTATGCAGATTTCTGGCTTGTGAAGGTACTCCTAGTTTATCAGCTATGATGTGTTTGGCTGTAAGTAACAGAAAACCCAACTGAAAGTGACTTTAATAATAAGGGACTTGTGATCTCATACAACAAAAACATTATGGTGGTAGTTGTCAAAACATGGTCTAGTGATGCCTGGAAGTCCCTGAAACCCTTTCAAGGCACTACATGGTCAAAATCATCCATTCCATGTGCAAGTTGCAGATGAACTTTAATGTAACAGAGCAGAAGTCAGTGTTTATTTACAAAAAACTTTATTACCAAATGTGTTGTGAATAAAGTTTTATTGGCACACAGCTACACTCATTTGTTCATGCATTGTCTGTGGCTGCTTTTGTGCCACACCAGCAGAGTCCAGCAGTTGTGATAGAGACTGTATGGCCCACAAAGTGGAAAATATTTACTATCTGGCCCTTTCCAGAAAAAAAATTGCTGATCTCTGCCATAGTGTATAAATCATTTTTGGAGATAATTTCAGACTCCACATTGCAAATGACCTTTAAGGAGCTACCACTTGTTACATTCTTAGTGTAGTATCAACAAAGAATATCTACAATGACCTGGAAAGACATAAAAATACTGCTCATTTTGCTACGACATATCTGGGTGAAATTAGATTTTTTTTTTTTAATATACTTCAACCAAACCAACATACCAAAACAGATCGAATACAAGAACAGACATGAGGCTGGGCCCTGTGGCTCAGATCTGTGATTCCAGTGCTTTGGAAGGCTGAAGTGGGCGTTTGAAGCCAGGAGTTTGAAACCAGCCTTGTCCCCATCTTGACAAAGGAAAAAATAAAAATAAACAAGAGCAGACATGAGAATCCAGCTGTGTTGTATTAAGCCAGACATTAATGAGATTTGCAAAAATGTCAAACAATGCCACTTGTCGCTAAGTTATTTCTTGTTTTAGAAAGATACAATTTTTTCACAAAAATATATTTATTATTAAATTGGTTTATTTTTAATGGATTAATAAATATATATTTAAAATTTCTCTTGGTTTCAATTAATAACATAATAAATACTGATAGATATAACCCATATAAACAAAAGCTTCTTGGGGTCCTCAGTAATTTTAAGAGTGTAAAGGGGTCCTGAGACCAAACAGTTTGAGAATCGCTGGTGTAGACTTCATGCAGCTTCAGGGCTGGTTACCACACCATCTCACTGATGCTCCCCCGGACCCAGTTGTTTTGTATCTGTTTACTCTGCCATTCTCAGCATATGGACTTGCTCTCTTAGACAGCAGCACCCCCCCTACCCCACATGGTACCAAATGGACACACAGAAATGACAGAGAGAAAAAACTGCAGCAACAGTTCCTGGCATCGTAAGTTTCCAAAGGCAGAAAAGGCACTATTTCTTTTTGTCCTATTTGTCCAAAAAAGTGATTTTTCTTTCTTTCTTTTTTTTTTTTTTTGAGACGGAGTCTGGGTCTGTCGCCCAGGCTGGAGTGCAGTGGCGCGATCTCTGCTCACTGCAAGCTCCGCCTCCCAGGTTCACGCCATTCTCCTGCCTCAGCCTCCCGAGTAGCTGGGACTACGGGCGCCCGCCACCACGCCCGGCTAATTTTTTGTATTTTTAATAGAGACGGGGTTTCACCGTGTTAGCCAGGATGGTCTCGATCTCCTGACCTCGTGATCCGCCCGCCTCGGCCTCCCAAAGTGCTGGGTCTTTTTTGTTCTTTTCGAGATGGAGTTTTGCTCTTGTTGCTCAGGCTGGAGTGCAATGGTGTGATCTCGGCTCACTGCAACCTCCGCCTCCTGGGTTCAAGCGATTCTCCTGCCTGGGCCTCCCGAGTAACTGGGATTACAGGCACGCACCACCATGCCTGCTAATTTTTGTATTAGTAGAGATGGGGTTTCACCATGTTGGTTAGGCTGGTCTTAAACTCCTGACCTAGGTGATCCACCCACCTCAGCCTCCCAAAGTGTTGGATTACAGGCGTGAGCCACTGCGCCTGGCCCCACTGATTTTTCAAAAGCAAGGAAAACCTTTTCCAGAACCAGTGTGCTATTTATTTTTACAATAACCCCAAAAAAGGCCTTATTAAGAAGGGTGTATAGGAGTAACTGATACAGGCTGGGTGCGGCTCACACCTGTAATCCTGGTACTTTGAGAGGCTGAGGTGCATGGATTGGTTGAGCTCAGCCTGGGCAACATACTGAAACCCTGTCTCTACAAAAAATACAAAAATTAGGCATGCTAATGCATGCCTATAGTTCCAGCTACTTGGGAGTCTGATGTGGGAGAATTGCTTGAGCCTGGGAGGTTGAGACTGCAGTGAACTGTGATTGCACCACTGCACTCCAGCCTGGGTGACAGAGCAAGACCCTGTCTCAAAAAAGGAGGAGAAGGAGAAACCAGATCGACTATAAATGACTAGAGAACTGGACAAAATACATGAAACAACTGGTTTTGGTCTTCGGAAAATAGAAACATAATGACTGTAATCTCTGAAGAAGGGAAACAATGAGGTGAGCCTGCAATCACTCCACCATTCTGCCTGAGGAACTTTCTAAGCCATGTACAGAGAAAAGGAATCCAAGTGGAGCACAGCAGTCTTGTTGAGCTGAGGAGACAGAAACAGGTGTTTGAAGGCTGAGGGGGTTGAGTTTTTAGAGATATGCAAATAAATAGCTCCATAAATATGCATAGTACCCTTGAAGATTTTGGCTGAATGCTAGGTTGTGATGTCCAGGTGAGATTCTACAAGCTGTGCAAAGAACAACTACGAGGGAAAGAGCAGCTCCTGGGTAGTTGTAGCTTGCACAATGCTGCAGACATTTGAGCTCTGGCAGTTACGTGGGGCTATCTTAATGAACACCCAGGACATTCATTAGAAACCACAGAGAGATCAGCCCTCAAGAATGTAAGTAAAGTAGTGCTAGCATAGAGATGACGGTAGATCCACTCTAGCAGAGCTTAAAAATGAGCCACAGAAGGATCATACTGATAAAACTATGCGTGCAGTAAATTAACTGCCTGCAAGAACCAAGTTCAATGCTCGTTAAAAGAAGACAACAACATTCAGATGTTCAACAATGAAACATTCAAAACGTCCACCATTCAATCCAAAGATGCTAGACATGCCAAAAAGTAGGAAAATCTGACCCATAATCAGGAGAAAAATCAAGTCAGTAGAAAAACAACCAGAAATGATGGGGGAAAAATGTAATTATCAGACAAAAATTTTTAAACAGCTAACATAAATATACTAAAGAATTCAAAGTAAAACTTGAACACAATGAGGAGATAAATGGTAGACATAAAAATAATCAATATTATGGTATGTTAATTATATCTCAACTAAAAATAAAAAAGATGAAAATTCTAGAGCTGAGACCGGGCGCAGTGGCTCACACCTGTAATTATAGCACTTTGGGAGGCCCAGGCTGGTGGATCACTTGAGGTCAGGAGTTCAAGACCAGCCTGGCCAACATGGGGAAACCCCATCTCTACTAAAAATACAAAAATTAGCCAGGCGTGGTGGCACACGCCTGTAATCCCAGCTACTCAGGAGGCTGAGGCAGAAGAATCACTTGAACTCAGGAGGTGAAGGTTGCAGTGAGCCGAGATTATGCTACTGTACTCCAGCCTGGGCAACAGAGTGAGTGAGACTCCATCTTAAAAAAAAAAAAAAAAAAAAAAAAAAAATTCTAGAGCTGAAAACACAATATCTGAAATGAAAATTTTGCTAGATGGTCCTAACAGAGTACTGGACACTGGAGAAAAGTGAAGTTAAAGACATGAAAATATAAATGATCAAATTGAAAGACAGAAAGAGGAAAGAGACTTTTAAAAATGAACATACTTTCAGTTCTCTATGAGACAATCTCAACCATACATATAATTAGAATCCCAAGAGAGAGAGGCAGAAAATGTATGAAAAAACTGTGGCTAAAATTTTTTCCAGTTTTGATGATAAATATCAATTCATAGGTCCAAAAATCTCAACAAAGCCTAGCAGGATAGACAGAAAACAACAGCAACAAACTACATCAAGGCAACATACTCATAGCCATATTGATGAAAACTAGTGGTAAAATCAGGCTATGAATGTCTGCTGAATTCTTACCACAGACCCGGCAAACAAGGGGGCAATGAATCAACATCTAGAAATGCTGAAATCAAGCCCACCTAAAAGTCTCAATCCAGTCACAATGGTCTTCAAAAAGGAAGGTGAAATAGACGTTTGAAGATAATCATGACTTAATTTATCGCCAGCAGATCTTACTACAATAAATGTTAAAGGAACTTCTTCAGGCTAAAGAAAAATGAAACCAGAGTAAAACTCAGATCTACACAAAATAGCAAAGATCACTGGAAATGGTAAATATGTGGGTAGATTTTAAAGTGAGCGTGAGGAGAAAAGGGAGTAAAATATACATCTTCAGGCACACCCACCCTCCAAATAGGGTCTAGATCAAATTTGAAGAGCCTAGCTGACACCTCAGCAACTCCAGACTTGCCACCGTGGCTGGCGGTGCTAACATAACTTCCAAGGCTGGAGTCGAGGCTGGCAAGCCCTCCAGGGACCCAGAGATTACCAAAGATGCAGTCGTAGTTCCTAGGCCCTGGAGTCTCTGGATAACGTCTGGACTACAGGCTGCACTGTCTTCTCCATGGTCTGCCTGACAATGGCTTGACCTTGACTCTGGCTCTTATTTCTTTTCTTTCTTTCTTTTTTTTTTTTTTTCTTTTCTGAGATGGAGTGTTGCTCTTGTTCCCCAGGCTGGAGTGTAGTGTTGCGATCTTGGCTCACCACAACCTCCGCCTCCCAGGTTCAAGTGATTCTCCTGCCTCAGCCTCCTGAGTAGCTGGGATTACAGGCATGTGCCACCATGCCTGGCTAATTTTGTATTTTTAGTAGCCCAAAGTGCTGGGATTACAGGCATGAGCCACCGTGCCCGGCCTTTTTTTTTGATGGAGCCTTGCTCTTGTTGCCCAGTTAGAGTGCAATGGTGGGATTTTGGCTTGCTGCAACCTCTGCCTCCTGGGTTCAAGCAATTCTCCTGCCTCAGCCTTCCAAATAGCTGGGATTACAGGCACCTGCTACCAAGCCCAGCTAATTTTTGTGTTTTTAGTAGGGAAGGGGTTTCACCATGTTGGCCAGGGTGGTCTCGAACTCCTGACCTCAGGTGATCCACCTGCCTTGGCCTCCCAAAGTGCTGGGATTACAGGCGTGAGCCACCATGACCCGCCTCTGGCTCTTATTTTAATCAGATTTGGGAGTCCACAAATCCATTCCTGCCCTGTCCCCTAACTTAGAGGCTAGTCCAGAGGTTCTTGCTTGGTGACATATAGAGGAAGGAGAGAAGCACCAGCCAGTCTTCCCATACTGCCAGTGTTTAGGCCCTATGGGGATTACAACATTGTGTTCAATTCTTTCCTTAGGCAGCTTTCACTCCACATTGCGTCATGTCTGCTATGCACACTATGAGCTTCAGACTATTGGGTTTCACTTTTTTCCTTAAGTTGGCCACCGTGGGAGTCTTAAGAAAATGTGTTGTGTTAATGAAGCATATGCTGAATGTGCTAGCCCAGCGCAGCCACCACGATGATTCACACATGACCTAGAAAACTGATTGAACCAGTTAGTCTCCCTGATTTCAGTTCCTGGCCCTTCTTGTCTGTCCTTCCCATCATCACCAGATTTTCCTTTGCAAGCCATCACTCTATGTTATAGACTGAATGTTGTATCCCCCCGAAATACATATGTTTAAATCCTAACCTCCAAAGTGATAGTCTTAGGAGATAGGGTCTTTGGAAGGTGATTAGATCATGGGGGTGGAACCCTCATAAATGGGATTAGTGTCTTTATAAAACAGAAACCTGGGAACTCTCTTTTCCGGGTCTTTCTACCATGTGAGGACACAAGGAGAAGGTGGCCATCTGCAACCTAGAAGAGCGCCCTCACCAGGACCCGACCATGCTGGCACCCTGATCTCAGACTTCCAGCCTCCAGAACCATAAGAAGTGAATTTCTGTTGTTTATAAGTCACTCAGCCTAGGGTATTTTGTTATAGCAGCCTGAATGGACTAAAATACTCTAATGCCATGTTAGCACCCTCTTCAAAATCAGAACTGCCTTCTAATGTGCCATTGGCTTTACCCAGATAGAGTGACTGCCAACGTGTTTGTAATGGGGGCCAAGGGTCGGGGGAACAAGGCAAAGAGCTCAGGAGCCAAAGAGATGACAGGCCAGTGGATGAGGCAGATGTCAAATATGCCTGGAGATGCTGAAGGACACACGTCTCTCCACTGTTGCCAGTGGGATTAAAAGATCATTCTTCCTTTCAGGCATTTGAATTACAAAAGCAATGCAATACCAAAACATCAAAAGTAGGTTTAATAGTCTCCCTTCCCTGCCCCTCTCGACACCAGAACACACTGCACATATTTCTTCTTGATCATGACCCTGGAGAGATGGTTTCATGGAAGTTTATATGTTTGCACTTCAAAGTCGATGACTTCAAGTCTTCATTATGTTACAATTTTGCTGGTTCCATTTTATAACCTAGAGAAATGTCTTAGGAGCCAGGCATGGTGGCTCACACCTGTAATCCCAACACTGGGAGGGCAAGGTGGGAGGATTGCTTGAGCCCAGGAATTCAAGACCAGCCTGGGAAACATAGGGAGACCCTGTCTCTACAATTTTTTTTTTAAATTAGCTAGGTGTGGTGGTGCATACCTGTAGTCCCAGCTACTTGGGAGGCTGAGACAGGAGGAGGATCACTTGAGCCCAGGAGATTGAGGCTGCAGTGAACTGTGATGGCACCACGGCACTCCAGCCTGGATGACAGAGTGAGACCCTTACTCTTAAATAAAATTAAAAAAAGAAAAATGTCTTTGTTTAGTGTTGCTGTGTGTGTGCTTGGGTGCGTGTGTGTGTGTGTGTGTGTGTATGTGTGTGATTTGTAACAGAGGTTGGGATTTCAAGAGAAGAACAAAAAAGTCAAATATTTTCTCAAACTCTTCTCTCATAAAAGAAAGAAGGTTTGGCTGGGCACAGTGGCTCATGCCTGTAATCCTAGCACTTTGGGAGGCCAAGATGGGTGGATCACCTGGGGTCAGGAGTTCAAGACCAGCCTGGCCAATGTGGTGAAATCCCATCTCTACTAAAAATGCAAAATTTAGCTGGGCGTGGTGGCACATGCTACTAGCTACTTGGGAGGCTGAGGCAGGAGAATCACTTGAACCCGGGAGGTGGAGGTTGCAGTGAGCTGAGATCACAACACTGCACTCCAGCCTGGGCGACAGAGCAAGACTCTGTGTCAAAGAAAAGAAAGATTTTTAGCAATTCAGTGACACGAAAGTGAAATGGTTGCAACAGCTGCCAAATTAGGGAAGATTAGCCCTTCCAAACATTAGGCGAAGCAAGATGGGACTCGTTTTAGAAGCTGCAAAGAGTTTGGATTCCCTTTTCATCTCATTATATCCACAGTTGAGAGAATTTCAGGGTGGGAGTGTATCTAAGGTTCCCCAGCACACTGCATTTCTAAGGGTACCGTGGTTCTCGGGAGACATCAGTGACCCTTCCTCCTGTCCTTCTCTTGCTTCCTTGGTATTCTCCTCACCCTTTCCTGATGGGCTGTTACTGATTCTGTCTCCATAGCTGAGCTGTAAAACATTGCATACCACGGATGACGCACATTTGCCCTGGATCCTTTTCCATCCCTCAGCAATCTGTGACCCAGCCCTTTGCCAGCTGCTTGGGAGCCAACACTAATGACTGGAAGCAGGTCGGGGCCATGAACCTCTGAGACGGGAAAACTTGCAGGCAAGAAGGAATTCCTACCAGGCAGCATAGCGCTTAGACCGAAATGCAGCTCCGCCAAAACTGGCTGATGGGGAAATGACTGAGACATTTCTCTATGTCTGAGAAACTTAAAGTTTTGTGGAGAAAGGAACTGACAGAATTTCTATGTAAAGTTGTCAGAACCAAGGGGGCTTAGGAAATCCACCTCGGTTCCGAGAAGACTCCCTGAACGGCGTGGTGGGGAGCTTTATCTTGAAAAGGATGAGTGATGGATGAGGTGGCAAGGGCAGGCTCGGAAGAGTGAGGTAGAGAGAGAGAGAGAGAGAGAGAGAGAGCAGGAGCCCAAGCTTGGGGGCTGGTCAGCAGGGAGCAGGGGAAGCTTTCAGGTACTGGGTAGGGCTAGAGGTAGGGTGACTGTCAATCAGGGTAGAAGTCTGCTTTCAGAGGGTATTCAGCATTGTATTAGGACACTTGCACTTTATACTTCAGGGAAATGAGAGTTTAAGAAGTGAAATAACAGGATCAGGTTTTCAATTCTGATAATCACCCTGGCTGCAGTACAAAGCATAGATTGGAATCTCTCTTCTTAGTGTAGTATCTGTCAATGGTGGGTGCTCAGTAAATATCTGTTGAACAAATGGTCAGTGAAGAAAGGAAAGGGAAAAAGATCCCTTTTAATAGGCTTAATGGGCCTGCAGCGAAAAGTGTCACCTATGAAACTCTCCAGACAGGTGGGGTGGGGGAATTTGACACAGATGCTGCTGCCCTGCTGCAGCTTTGTTTCATTCTGTTTTTAATTTACCGGGGCTGCAAGGGAAAGGGCGACTTCTGGGATCTCTGGAGCTAGGATGAGTCAAAGGCCTGCTGACGACATGCTAGAGCTCTGCTCCTCGCAGCACGATCAGGCAGCAGCGGCATCAGCTGGGAACTTGGTGGAAATGTAGAATCTCTGGCCCCGCCCTAGACCAACTAAGCCAGAATCTGCATTTAACTAGATCCCCAGGTGATGAGTAGGCACTTGAGGGTTAGAGGAGCCGGGTGTAGACTCAGAAGCTCCGCCCTGCAGATGAATCATCAGGAGAACCCGGAAGAAGTAGGAAGAGTGGGAGACCTGAGAAATCCGTATTTTCCCAGTCTCCTCTGCTTGAGACTGCAAGTGGGGCCACACTAATAGAAACCTATGGTTTTCTCCAAAAGCCCCAGCAATTTCATATGATTCAACCTAGTACTTTGGAGAGTCCCCAGAGTGTGACTCATGACTCCCCCTCACTCAGTTACCACATGGAATTCCCACTTTCCTGCTCTCTGACCTGGGCACCAGCCACGGCTCCCAAGGGTGCTTGCTTTACGGGGCACTCTGTCTAAGAGGTGAGAATTCTTCTGCACTGCCTTGAATGGCTTCAGCAATGACAACGATGATAACCAACAATGTCAAGAACTGCTATACACCAGGCACTGTTCTAGGTACTCTTTTGGATTTAACCTTATGAATCATAATGATCGTTACTATTTCACAGATGAAATTTCTATTTCACAGATAAAGAAACTAAAGCCCAGAGAGGTTAAGGAGCTTGCCAAGTCACAGGGCATGTGAGTGGAGTGACGCCTGCTTATCATTTGGGCCCCGGGGGCAGAGCTGCTTGATGCTCCAAGAATCACACAGAACCTTTAGCAAACGAGCTCTTTTTGTTTATTGCTGGGAGCATGAGCTATAAGCTAAAGAAACCACTCAGAGGAACTAGAGACTTATGAGTGGTTCTAAGATAAGTTAATGAGGTTAGGGCTGTGCTGCTGGGGGTGCATGTGTTCCCAGGAGCTGATGTGGCCCACTGAGTCCCTATAACCTCCAGCATAATCAGGCTCAGGCTGTAGCCCCTGCTGCTGGGGCAGACAGAGGAGTTCAGTGAAGGCTGGAACTGTCACAGGCAAGCAGCTCTGCCCGAGGAAACCTGAGCAGGATCAGGAGAAGCGGGATGAGGCCAGTGAGGAGCCCCAGACCAGGGCCACAGAGACCCCCAGGATCTACTGAAGGTGATGGAACACCCCAAAGACAATGCTGAATGTCTACATGAGGAAGTGTCTCCATCACCGGTGGCCCAGAGATAACTGAGGGAGCAATACAGGACCCGAAGGCCGAGGTCCATCCTTGGGCTATGTCCAGGAATGAGAGAAAGGAGGAGGCCCATGCCCAGAAGCGCCTTCACCCCAGGTCCGCTGTGGTCTCACGACTGAGACCCCCTGCTTGCACCCAACCCAGACAGTGCTGAGGAAGGGAAGAGGAAGCAGGAGGGGAAGCCTGTGACAGGACCAGCTGTGCCAGTCTGTAGGAGGCTGAGCTAGGATAAGAATCCTGTGGCTTGGAAGTCCTTTGCTTCCAGGATTTAGAATCTCTCAATTCTTCCAGGGCTGTTCTAACCTTACTTCTTTAAATTTATTAATTTTTTTTTTAAACAGGGTCTCACTTTTTCACCCAGGCTGAAGTGCAGTAGTACTATGCAATCTCAGCTCACTGCAACCTCCCTCTCCCAGGTTCAAGTGATTCTCGTGCCTCAGCCTCCCGAGTAGTTGGAACTACAGGCGTGCTCCACCAGGCCCGGCTAATTTTTGTATTTTTTGGTAGAGATGGGGTTTTGCCATGTTGGCCAGACTGGTCTTGAACTTCTGACCTCAAGTGATCTGCCCGCCTCAGCCTCCCAAAGTGCTGGGATTTCAGTGTGAGCCACTGGGCCCGGCCTCTAACCTCATCTTATGGGACTGTCTTACATCCTTACTTGGATGAAGAATGGAGGTGTCAGTGAACCCCTAGAGGCCAGAAGTAGGGCTGACCCTGCAGTGAGTTTCCTCAGGGCCTAGGCATGAGCCAAGGAAGCTGGCGTAGTGATGAGAGGGCACTCAGAGGGCAGGGCTGAGAGGCTGCTGGGAACCTGCTCATCCCTTCTCTCCTGGACTCTCCATCCTCCTCCTCCTGCTCCCTCAGTCACCACCCTCAGGCTGTGCTTCTCCTTAACAGGATCCTCCTCTGCGTGGTCATTAGTGGGACTGCCCTAGGGGAAGGCCTTCTTTAGGTCACACCCCTCTTTCTCCCACCTCCTGGTCTCGGGGTCACTTTGGAGCCTGTGGTCCTGGAGGAAGCTGTAGCAGCAGGGACTGAGGAAAGACTGCAAGTTCCAAAGATAACTGCATCTTCTATGGCTTTTTAAAATTTCCAGCTGAACCCTGGAATAATTGAATACAGGGTTCAACACTTAAAAAACAAAAACTGTTCTGATGACTAGAAGCAGGACAGAAGCACTGGTGGCCTCTAAAGGGGGTCTGCCCCCAGAGACGGCTGTGGGTGAAGCCAGGCGGATGGCAGCCTGCCCTCTTTCCTGCCAGCACACACATCAACCGCTTGGCTTTTTATGAGAAAATCCAAACAAAGGGGCATGATTGTGTGAGATGCCAGTCTGTGTGCCAGCCTGCGAGCCTGCCCAGGGGATGGGATGGCCAAAGACTGGGGCTGGACGTCACAGGTCAAGAATGCAGAAAGGCTCCTGGCAGCCTCCTCTTTCAGCAGAGGAATGGAAAGCTCTAATCTGGTGTCTCCTGTGGGAGGAAGAGCTAGGGATCAACACCAGGCAACAGCCATACTGTCTTCCTCCCAGAGAGAGACCTGTCAACATTGCTAGGGGAAGAGGAAAACAAACAAACAAGAAAGGAGGCCAGGCTAATGATGACAGAGAGAAGCATGAGCTCCATGAAGGAGACAGCCCTCATTATCCAGCTGCATTTTCAGTAATAACACATCTTGGCTGTTTCAAGAACCATGGTTTGAGTCCATCCACCTACAAGAACCCGGATTCTTATTAATATGTGAATTCCATTAGACTTGCTAGTTTAGGGGATGTCCATGTTGCTTCCTGTATGAAAGTGACCCTGATTTCCAGCCAACATGAGTGAGTTTTCTGTGCACAGTGCGTGCGCAGGCTGCCTGTGCTTACCTGAGCTTCTGTCTCTCTCCCCCGCTGGCTTGGAACCCCTGGAGGCTGGAGCGTGTTTATCCACATTCGTATCCTTAGCACTGTGTCAGGCACATAGTAGGTACTCAGCAGATATTTGTTGAAGCAAAAGGATGATGAGATAGAAACATGACAGTAGGAACTATGAGACTCAGGAGACTTTAGAAATGACCCAATTTCGGGATAGGTGGAAGACAGCAGACATTGGACATCAGGCAATGAATGACAGTGACTCCAGAGAAAAGGGAAACAAATGAGGTAGCCATATAATTTCCCCAGTTTACTATCTGGAGGTATTTTCCATGCTGCAGTGCAGGGAGGGAGAAACCCAGACAGAGTTTGGTGGTCTCATTGAGTTGAAAATACAGAAATCAGAATTCAAAGTCCAAGTTAGAATTCTGAGAACTCGAGTTAGCTAGAAACACAGAGCAGAATACAGAAGTGGAAGAAACTTCACAGAGAGAGCTTGGAGGTCAGCAGAGAGGTCCTCTTGGGTCTTCAGCTGACAACTGATATGCAGAGGCAAGATAAGAAACTGTGAGAATAGGGGAAGAGCAGCTGGAAAGCAGTAGACCAAACAATTCCCACTGCTCACACAGGCCAGAATGGAAACACCTCATCATGTATGGGGCATTTCCTTAATAAGGGGCGTAAATGGCCAGGTGCGGTGGCTCACGCCCGTAATCCCAGCACTTTGGGAGGCCGAGGTGGGTGGATCACGAGGTCAAGAGTTCGAGACCAGCCTGACCAACATGGTGAAACCCTGTCTCTACTAAAAATACAAAAATTAGCAGGGCAAGGTGGCGCATGCCTGTAATCCCAGCTACTCAGGAGACTGAGGCAGGAGAATCACTTGAACCTGGGAGGCAGAGGTTGTAGTGAGCCGATATCGTGCCGCTGTACTCCAGCCTGGGCAACAGAATAAGACTCCATCTCTAAATAAATAAATAAATAAATAAAATAAATAAATGGCGTAAATTATGCCTAGAACAAAATCTACTTTGGACCTGTTCTAGCAAAGCTTAAAAGCAAATTTCAAAAGGACCCAACTGATTCCACGTAATGTAATTGAGTGCCAGAACAATATCCAACAATGCTTAAAGGACTACAACACAACCCAGCACTCACCAACATAAAATTCACAACATCTGGTATCCAAATGAAAGTTGCAAAACAACTGGAAAATATGGCCCATAACCAGGAAAAAAAAATTCAATAGAAATATACCTAGAGATGACACAGATGATGAAATCAGGACTATAAAGGAGCTGGTATAAAGGTGCTCCATACATTCAAGAAGGCAGAGGAAAACATGAAGAGGCAAGAAATGGAACATTTTCAAGACCTAAATAGAACTTCTAAAGATTAAAAATATGTCTGGATGTAAAATACCCATATAAGATTAACAGCAGATTAGACATTGCAGAAAAGGTCTGTGAACTTGAAGGAGAACCTTTGAAGCACAGAGAGGAAAAAGACTGACCAAAAAATGAACAGATTGACAGCAAACTGTGAGACACAATAAAAAATACATACATAATACATGTAATTGAAATCTCAGAATAAGTTGGGAACCCACAAAAATATTTTTAAAATTTATGGTAGAAAATTTTATAAACTTGAAAACTCAGAGATTCAAGAAGCTCCGTGATCCCCAAGTAGAATAAATGCAGAGGAAATTACACCAATGTACATCATATTAAGACTGCCGGAAAATAGTGAGAACAAGATAACATTCAAAGCAGCCAGACAGAAAAATAAAATATTACATAAAGGCAAACAAAATTAATAATGACTAGTGACTGCTCATCTCATACAGCACAAGTCAGGAGACAATGTTATTTTATGAATATCTGACAGAGAACAAGTTGCCAACCTAAAAATCTATATCCAGTGAAAATATCTTTCAAAAATGAGGCAAAATAAAGGCTTTTTTTTTTTTTTTTTTTGAGACAGGGTTTTACTCTGTCACCTAGGCTAGAGCGCAATGGCACAATCTCGACTCACCGCAGCCTCTGCCTCCCGGGTTCAAGTGATTCTCCTGCCTCAGCCACCTGAGTAGCTGGGATTATAGGAACCATCACCACGGCCAGATAATTTTTTTTTTTTTTGAGACAGGGTCTCACTCTGTCACCCAGGCTGGAGTTCAGTGGCACGATCTCGGCTCACTGCAACCTCCACCTCTCAGGCTCAAGCGATTCTCCCACCTCAGCCTCCTGAGTAGCTGGGATTATGGGTGTCCACCACCACGCCCGGCTAATTTCTGTATTTTTAGTAGAGATGGGGTTTCACCATGTTGGCCAGGCTGGTCTCAAACTCCTGACCTCAAGTGATCCACCCACCTCGGCCTCCCAAAGTGCTGGGATTACAGGTGTTGAGCCACCATGCCCGGCTGCCCAGATAATTTTTGTATTTTTAGTAGAGACAGAGTTTCGCCGTGTTGCCTAGGCTGTCTTGAACTCCTGAGCTCAAGCTATCTGCCCAAAAATAAAGGCCTTTAAAGCCCAACAAAAGCTGAGAGACTTATTGCCAGCTGACTTGCACATCAAGAGATGTTAAAGGAAGTTCGGTTCTGTAGGGGGAAGGAAATGTGGATCCTCCCAAACAAATGAGGAGACCTGGAATTTAAATGTGTGGATGAACGTGTTTTTCTTAGTTTTTAATCTTTAAAATGATAACTGTTTAAAGCAAGCTTGTCCAATCCATGACTCATGGATGGCTTTGAATGTGGTCCAACACAAATTCATAAACTTTCTTAAAACATTTTGAGGGTTTTTTTGCAATTTTTTTTTAGCTCACCCTCTATCTTTAGTGTTAGTGTATTTTATGTGTGGCCCAAGACAACTCTTCTTCCAATATGGTCCAGGGAAGCCAAAAGATTGGACACCCCTCGTTTAGAGCAAAAGCAATAACAATGTATATTTTCAAAATACAGTTGACCCTTGAATAACGTGGGGGTTGGGGCACTTGCCCTACCCCTAGTTGAAAATCTATATATAACTTTTGAATCCTCAAAAACTTAACAGTCTACCTCCCAGTAATACTATACTCATAGCTTACTGTTGACCAGAAGCTGTTCTGGTAACATAAACAGTTGATTAACACATATTGTGCGTATTATATGTATTATATACTATATTCTTACAATAAGGCAAGCTAGAGAAAAAAATGTTATAAGAAATTAATAGGAAGAGAAAATATATTCATTCATTATGTATGAGGATGAAGACCTCTATGATGATCCACTTCCACTTACTATTTCTTTTTTCTTTTTTTTTTTTTTTTTGAGATGGAGTCTCGCTGTGTCACCCAGGCTGGAGTGCAGTGGCACAATCTCAGCTCAGTGCAACCTCTGCCTCCCAGGTTCAAGCGATTCTCCTGCCTCAGCCTCTCTAGTAGCTGGGACTGCAGGCGCTCACCACCACGCCCGGCTAATTTTTTGTATTTTTAGTAGAGACAGGGTTTCACCGTGTTAGCCAGGATAGTCTCGACCTCCTGACCTCGTGATCTGCCCACCTCGGCCTCCTAAAGTGCTGGGATTACAGGCGTGAGCCACGGTGCCCAGCCTCCACTTAATATTTCATTAGGTGGAAGTGGGTCATCATAAATGCCTTCATGCTCATCATCTTCACGTTGAGTGGCTAAGGAAGAGGAGGAAGAGGAGGGTTGGTCTTGCTGTCTCAGGGGCAGCAGAGATGGAAGAAAATCTTTGTATGCGTGGACCTTCACTGGTCAAACCCATGTTGTTTAAGGGCCAACTGTATGTGAAAATAAAGTATGGCTATAAAAGCATGGAAGACAGGAGGGGTTAATGGAAGTACACCATTGTAAGGGTCTCACACTATGCATGAAGTGGTAAAGTATAACTGGAAGGTAGATTGTGATAGATTAAAGATGTGTATTTAAATCCTTACAGCAACCACTAAAATCATAAACACAAATAAACCAATAGTGGAGATAAAAATGGAATTTAAAAAATACTCTTAGCAGGGAAGCAATAAACAATAGCCAAAATTGAAGCGAAAATGTCATGACCAGAACTGGAATTGCCTGGGTCCTAGACGTGTGCTCTTATTCTAATAAAAAAGGAAAGAATGTGCCATGTAAAGCATCAGAGTAAAGAAAGATTTCTCGAAAATGTTGGAGCCTTAACATGACTGTAAGAGCTGAGAGGCATTTGGGAAGAAATGAAGTGGGCTATTCTAGGGAGGGAGAATGGCATATGAAAAGATGACGGTGGGAGATGGGAAAGGAGGGTATTTGCAGTGGGAAAACAGGATTCATACAGAAAGTTTTCAGAGAGTATTAAGAGGTAAAGGGGCTGAGCGCGGTGGCTCACGCCTGTAATCTCGGCACTTTGGGAAGCTGAGGAGGGCGGATCACCGGAGGTCAGGAGTTCAAGACCAGTTTGGCCAATATGGTGAAACCCCGTCTCTACTAAAAATACAAAAATCAGCTGGGTGTGGTGGCAGGTGCCTGTAATCCCAGCTACTCAGGAGGCCGAGGCAGGAGATTCACTTGAACCTGGGAGGTAGAGGTTGCAGTGGGCAGAGATTGTGCCCTTGCACTCCAGGCTGGGCTAAAAGAGCGAGAATCCATCTCAAAAAAAAAAAAAAAAAAAAAAAAAAGAGGTAAAGGGGGTGTGCCAGGTAGCCAAGGGCCTTGAATTTAGCCTTAAGCCTGTGGGCAAGATGGAACCCCTGAAGACTGCTTATCTCTGAGTGAGCCTCACCCTCAGTGGCCACTCTGGCTATCCTCTTCCCTGGCTGTAATCATTTTTTGGTGTTATATTGCAAAGATCATGCACTCTGGAGTCAGAAACCTTGGGTTTCTCTCCAGGTTCTCCACTGAATGATTCTAGGGCAAGTTTCTTAGTCTAAGCCCAAGTTCTTTCAGGATCAGTTTCCTAAATTATGAGACTACTGATCACTTGGCCCTTCCTTATCCACCTCAGGGGAGGACACAGTATCCAGGCTAGTCAGTCACTGTCCCTCTTCCCCTGACCACAGGACTGATTCAGGGATGGGTACCTGACACAGTCCTTGCCAGTCTTTTTATATTTATTTTTTTGAGATAGGGTCTTGCTACGTTGCCCAGGCTGGCCTCGAACTCCTGGGCTCAAGTGATCCTCTTGCCTCAGCCTCCTGAGCAGCTGGGACTATAGGTACATGCCACCATGCCCAGCTATGGATTTTTCTCTAGCAATAGGGTGATACAGGCCTAAAGTTGCCACCATCTGGGGAGATCTTGCCAAAGAATAAAGACAAAACTGAGGACTACAAAGCCAAGAGAGTAATGAAGAAAGAGAAAGTTCTGATGACATCATTAGAGGCTCCCAGAACCTGAAAGAACTACCCGTGGACTTTTCAATTACATGAGCCAATGATTTCCCACCCTTACCGCTTTTGTAAGCAAGTTTTGAATTGATTTCAGGCACAATCAGAAGCACCCAAACTACACAGTATTCTTGTGAGGATTAAATTAGATAAACATGCAACAAACGGCACGTGTTCAACATATACTGACTATTATTACTTTCTTATCACTACATATCTTAATATCATTTTATCCCCTGTACAAGCAGATACAGAGAACTCTATTTTATAGAGGGATTTAGAGAGAGGAAGTAGCTTGTTAAAAGCTCCCAAAGTTAATAAATGACATAGTTGAGCTCTTTTTCCACCAGACGCTATGGACGATGGTAACATGCCTAGCACATAGCAGTCACTTGGTAAATGTGGATTCCTTTCCCCTTTCCTGCAAACCAAGATCCTCAAATCATGCCTGTCTACCTAGAGGTTCACACGAAAGCAGAAGTCGTAAGGATGCTTCTATACATTCTGCCTCCCTTAGGTATAGTTTGCTCTTCAGAGACTTATCTTTGAATGATCGGACCTGCTGAACGCTTGTATCTTCCCGTCTTAACCCCTCAAGGCTCGCCTCTCTCAGCTGTCCTTCCAGATTTTCAGCCACTTCTGAACATGGGCATCTAACATGTTCTGTGGCGCTGACTTTCCCTCCAGCCCTCAGACTTGCCTTAGTCCCTGTTGTCTGCCAGTTTTTCCCTGGACATCGTCCTCTGAGAGACCATGCAGTCCCATGGCCGCGCATGACCAGTATGCACCCAGGTGCGTCCTCTTCCCACACAATTCACCGAAGTAGTCTTGGTTCTTTTTCCTCAATGGTCAGTCATGCAAGTCACAGTGAACATATCTATTTTGGAAAAGCTCAGTGCATAACCCGATATAAACATTTCATTGTCTATCATAGAAAGGAATTTCCCTAAAAGTTCTGGGAGGGTAACTTTTTTCTTTTCACTTAAAAAATATAATGTAGTGGCACACAGCCTGGGCAGTGTAGCTTCACAACATCCTCAGTGTACCTGACAACTTCTGGGAAGTTGTCATCAGTTGACTAAAAGTTAGAAAGGGCTGGACATGGTGGCTCATGCCTGTAATCCCAGCACTTTGGGAGGCCGAGGTGGGTGGATCACCTGATGTCAAAAGTTTGAGACCACCCTGGCCAACATGGTGAAACCCCATCTCAACTAAAAATACAAAAAATTAGCTGGGCGTGGTGGTGGGTGCCTGTAATCCCAGCCACTTGGGAGGCTGAGGCAGGAGAATTGCTTGAACCTGGGAGGCGGAGGTTGCAGTGAGCAGAGATCGCACCATTGCACTCCAGCCTGGATGACAAGAGCGAGACTCCATCTCAAAGAAAAAAAAAAAAAAGGTTAGAAAGACCTAAATGTAAGGAGAGTAAACATTTTGATTCAGAAATTCAGACCAAGAAATCTTTCATTTAGTCTTTGGCTGTTTTAGAAAATGAGGGCTCCTTGAGCATGAAACACTGCAATCTTACATTTACAAAGAGCACTGGAGGACGTGCTAAGAGAGTGGGTTAGTGTCACTTCTTAGCCACTGTCTGTTTATAGACGAAACTGCTGCTTACCTGTCCAGTGCCCATTCTCTGCTTCCTAACAGAACCTTTAAATTGTTGGGGAGATCATGTACCCAGCTCAAAGATTATCTTGCTCAGTCAGCTTGTGGGAAAGGTGGGGCCAAGGAAATGCAAGCAGAAGTCATTGAGGGGATCGTGGCACAGATCTGCAGAGATGGCTGTCTCAGCTGGAAGGTGACTTTTTACCCACCCAGTTCTTCCCCTGTCTTACCTGGAACCAGGTACCATGATCAGAGCTGCAGTGGCCATCCTGCAGCAGGAGAACTTGAGGGTGGTAGCCACTGGTGGTGTTCAGAAGAGCAGAAAGAGAAGAGTCGGGTACACTGAGGATGTTGTGAAGCTACACTGCCCGGGCTGTGTGCCACTACATTATATTTTTTAAGTGAGAGGAAAAAATAACCCATTGCCATTGTTGCTTGCAGCTGAACATCGGTCCTAACTGATGCAGTGACCTGGAAACATTGCTTAATTGGGACCGTGGTTTCCTCATTTGTGAACTGATGAGGGTTATATCAGAAGATCTCTAAAGTTCTCTCTGTTTCTAAAACCTTATGATTCTAAGACTCTGTATAAATACATAAGTACAACATGCTTGCCTGATCTCTATTCCATCTTGGCCTTCTGGGCAAATCTGAAAGTGAGTGTGTGTATTGTTAGCTGGAAATCAAAATGACTATGAACGTAGAATTGCCATATGACCCAGAAATTCCACTCCTAGGCGAAATGAATGGAAAACACACGCACAGACAGACACATATTTATAGCAGCGTTACCCTTTTTTTCTGAGATGGGGTCTGGCTCTGTTGCCCAGGCTGGGCTGCAGTGATGGGATCATGGCTCACTGCAGCCTCAACCACCCAGGCTCAAGTGATTCTCCCACCTCAGCCTCCCAAGTAGCTGGGACCACAGGCACGTGACACCACACCTGGTGAATTTTTTTAAAAATTATTTTTTGTAGAGACACGGGCCTCCCTATGTTATCCAGGCTGATCTCAAACTCCTGGGCTCAAGTGATCCTCCTGCCTTGGCCTCCCAAAGTGCTGGGATTACAGGCATGCACCACTGCGCCCAGCTGCAGCATTATTCTTAAGAGTGAAAGAGTGGAAACTACCCAAATATCCATCAACAGAAGAATGAGTAAACAAAACATGGTCTATCCATACAATGGCATATTATTCAACCATAACAGAATGAAGTATTGATACATGCTACAACAGGGATGACCCTTGAAAACATATGCTAAGAAAAAAAAAAGCCCAGCCAGACACAAAGGACCACAAATAGAATGCCTTCATTTATATGAAATGTCCAGAATAGGCAAACCCATAAAGACAGAAACAGTAGTGATTTCCTGGGCTTGGAGTGGTAGGGAAGACTGGGGAGAGGGGTATGGGGGGTGACCGACAATAGGCATGGAGTTTCTTTTTTTGGGTGATGAAAATATTCTGGAATTAGATGGTGATGATAGCTGCACATTTCTGTGAATATACTAAAACCCCCGACTTACGGTCTTTTAAGTGGTGAATTTTATGGTAGGCAAATTTTATCTCAATTAAAAGACAAAAAAATGACTGTGAAATATTTTGAGTGAAATAGAATGCACCAAATTAAGCTTCTTTGGCTGTGTGTTGACAAGCACACCTGCAGAGAAACACGAGGGGTGGGGAGGCAGGAAGGCAGGGTGGTTAAAAAACAAAGGTATGGAAGAGTCTTTTCAAGGGAATGGCTCAACTTTGAAGTGCATTTAGAAAAGCATGACCTCTCAATAGGACATCTTTTACACACCAGAAAGAAATTAGCCTTATAGCAGTTTGCCAAGCCACATCTTAACTAAAATGGGGATTTGAAAAAAGGGCCACTCCTGTCCTCCTTAACTTCCTACTTTTTTTCACAATAGCTAAACCCTGGTAGAATATTCCCTTTTCAACCGTGTTTGTATTAGAGCATTGTGTATGTGGTGTTTTAAAACCAGGCAATTCAACATCACCTGTCAGTGACCTCATTACAGACAAAAGGCTGGTACTATGTCTGTGGCCAACCCATCTGGAAACGTTGAGTGGGACCTAGGCACACGTTCAGGTTTTCCTTGATGCCAGGGAACTCATCTTTCCCTTCTTCATGATCCTCACGTGGCTTTGTATACAACAGAACCTGAGCCATGCAGCTGCAGTGAAGTCAGCACTGGGTGTAAGACCCAATTTGTACAGAAAGTGTTCTGGGATCTTAGATAATTCTCTGATCCTCAGTTTCCCTACTTACATACCAAGGAGGGCAAATGAGATGATCTCTTAAGGTAATTTTTGTTCAAATTGCTATCAATCTAATATCAATCACTTTTGGTGATACAATGGAAAATCTACCGTAGTCTTAGATCATCCCTGAGGCTGATGCAGAGGAGCAGGCCAACTTAGAGCGCACTGAGGTTTTAGTTCCTTCTCAGACTCTCTGGATGATCTCAGGGTGACTTCAGCTCCCCTCCCCAAACCCCAGTCTCTGAATCATGCATCACATCTCAGTGGCTCTTGTAATTTGGATATTGTGTCTGCTTGGAAGTAAATATCCTCCTCAGGGCACGTCAAGGAGGGATAAAACATTTCTTTCGGGAAGTGTTGAAAACAGACACACACCACCACTACCACCATCACCACATCACCACCACCACCACACTACCACCACCACCACCATCACCACTACTACCATCACCACTACTACCACCACCACCATCACAATCACCACTATCACCATCATCACCATCACTACCACCACCACCATCACCACCACCACCACTATCACCACCACCACCACCATCACCACCACCACCACCACCACCACCACACTACCACATCACCACCACCACCACCATTACCACCACCACCACCACCACTATCACCATCATCACCATCACCACCATCACCACCACCACTACCACTACCACCAACACAATCACCACCACGATCACCATCATCACCACCACCACCACCATCAGCACCACCAAATCCCATCACATAAAGGTCATGTAACAAATGAAACTAATGATTCCAAAATAGTATCTTCATCCAGGAATTAGTCTGAGCATTTTCCTCATTTTGAACTTTTTTAAATGTATGCATTTAAAATCTGTATTAGGCCCCAGAAGATCTGCTTGGCAGGTCAGTTTGGCACCAACTATTCTAACCATGCCAAAATAAGCTTTAGCATTCCATACGTGGTTGTACTGACAGGCTAGCAAGCTGGCCTACTGGTGCCTGCCTGTCCCCTTCTCACCAGGTGGAAGAGAAGTACCACACGTCCAGTATGCCAAGAGGCTCTTGGATACAATCCCACTAGTCTCCGAGGGTACTGAACGCATGCCTGACAGGTTGTAGGGAATGCATGCCCAAGGATAGATCCAGGGGACCTTGGCAGCTGCCCCAGGTGTTTGGGGCATTTAAAGCTAATGCCACCCTTCAATTCAGTTGTTGGAAGCTTTACACCAGCTCAGCAGGAATCACATCTGCCAGTCTGCAGCTAAATATAGAAAACTGAGCTGAAGCCACTGGCTCCAGACACCTGTCTGACCCTACTCATCACTCAGTCAAGTTTTAGAGGTATATAATGCTTGGTAAAGTGAATTGTGCTCTTTTCCATTTATGGGAGCCATGTGGCAGAATTAACTTATTTTCACACTATTTGGAATTATACTGCTTATGGTTTTCTTTGGAACTATTTTCAAATATATTTCAGCCTTTTAAATAATGGAAATCTTGTATCTACACTTTTCTTTCTTTTTTTAACATTTAAGTAAGTGTAGGACCAAGCAGAATAAAATAAATATAAGGTCAGGTTTAAGGTCATATTTTTTCTAATTTTGAGTTTGTGTGAAAACTAGAAAAATCTTAAACCTGGTTTTCATGATCCTTTCTTTCTATAGGGGTGTGTAAATAAGTTTTGTACCTTTGCTTATAACTCACACTCTTTTTCTCTTCTCAAAATGAGAAACTAGCTCAGATTAAAGCAGAGTATCAGCAGTATTTTGACAAGGTATAATTTATCCCATAGGAACATCTTAACTGAAAATCCATTATTGAAATCCTATAGCTTCTTTAGTGGTTGAGTTCAAGTCCAGAGTCAGACTTGGGTTCAAATCCCAAATCCTATTTCTGCATGGAAAAAAAAATGCAATAGGCTGAAAATTATTCTGGATTGCCTACTTAAAGTAAAATTCCCCAACAATGCAGAATTTATAATTCCATCTAAACTCAAATGATGTTAAAAATAAGTACAAATAGTTTGTAATATAGTATAAATATGATTGCCTGGAGAAAAAGTTGCTTGAGAATTGAGAATGAGCCTATTCACTGTTTATAACTCTATAGCTATTCCTAAGTGCAGGTGATATAACTTAAAAAGGCACATGCCTTTGACAAAAAATTCCATTTGTGGAAATTTACAGGATAACTATTCTCATATGCACACTAATAAATGAACAAAATTATTCATTGTGACACTATGCTGTAAGTATAAACCTTAATGACCATTGGTAGGGAATTGGCTAAATAAAACATAGCACAACTATATAATGGACGCTACATATCCATTTAAAGGAGGGAAGCTCTCTGTAGGTTCAAGATACACTGTTTAGTGAAGAAGGCTGCAGAATTGTGTTAGTATCACATCATGTGTGTGAAGAAAGAGAAAAAGGAAATATCCTACATGGGTTTGAAAATATATGGAGTATTTCTGCAAGGAAGTAAGAAAGATAACCGTGATTAGGATGGTTTCCCTCCAGGGAGGAAACTGCATCAAGGAACACAGGAAAAAGACACACTCACTTTCCACTCTTCAGAATTTTGTGCTGTGAGTATGTAGGAACTATTCCAAAAATGCTTTTTTTTTTTTTGTAAAGGAGATAAAAGCATAGTAGGAATTGCACATGAAGACACACACTGTGCTTTCAAGTAGACATTTTTTCAACTAATATTTATTAAAGGTATTTTAAAACTCAGGTTGATCTCTCATCTTAACTGTGATTGGTTCAATTTTACCATACCGAAAGAATAAATTCATTTGAGCTTTTACCTACGCCTTTGCTTTTTGTTAAAGGAAGAATTCAATGCAATGTGTTCAGAAAGTTACATTTAAATCGTTAATAAAGAGAAAAAGGAAGAGAAAGAGAGGACACCATTCCGACACAAACGTTTATGTGATTTTAGCCATTACAACAGTAATTCAGAAATATCTCAAATGTTACATTGATGTCATCAATATTACAAAAAAGGAAAAAAAAAGTGACAGGCAACAGTGAAGAGCACCAGAGACCCAGCGCACACCTAAAGTAGACCATGCTTCTTTCCTTCCACTGCCAGGTTATCGTCCCGGGAAGCCCCCCACCCCCTCGCTTTCCTCCTCCGCTTTCCCTAACCCGTCTCGCGGGGGCATCTACGCCTCGTCCTCGCCCTCCTCCTCCTCGAACTCCCCTTGTTCGTCGGCCGTGGCGTCCTGGTACTGCTGGTACTCGGACACCAGGTCGTTCATGTTGCTCTCGGCCTCGGTGAACTCCATCTCGTCCATGCCCTCGCCCGTGTACCAGTGCAGGAAGGCCTTGCGCCGGAACATGGCCGTGAACTGCTCGGAGATGCGCTTGAACAGCTCCTGGATGGCCGTGCTGTTGCCGATGAAGGTGGCCGACATCTTCAGGCCGCGGGGCGGGATGTCGCACACGGCCGTCTTCACGTTGTTGGGGATCCACTCCACGAAGTAGCTGCTGTTCTTGTTCTGCACGTTGAGCATCTGCTCGTCCACCTCCTTCATGGACATGCGGCCCCGGAAGATGGCAGCCACCGTCAGGTAGCGGCCGTGGCGCGGGTCGCAGGCGGCCATCATGTTCTTGGAGTCGAACATCTGCTGGGTGAGCTCGGGCACCGTGAGCGCCCGGTACTGCTGGCTGCCCCGGCTGGTCAGGGGCGCGAAGCCGGGCATGAAGAAGTGCAGGCGAGGGAAGGGCACCATGTTCACCGCCAGCTTGCGCAGGTCTGCGTTCAGCTGGCCCGGGAAGCGCAGGCAGGTGGTGACCCCGCTCATGGTGGCCGACACCAGGTGGTTGAGGTCCCCGTAGGTGGGGGTGGTCAGCTTCAGGGTGCGGAAGCAGATGTCATACAGGGCCTCGTTGTCAATGCAGTAGGTTTCATCTGTGTTTTCCACCAGCTGGTGGACCGAGAGGGTGGCGTTGTAGGGCTCCACCACCGTGTCTGACACCTTGGGTGAGGGCATGACGCTGAAGGTGTTCATGATGCGGTCTGGGTACTCTTCCCGGATCTTGCTGATGAGCAGGGTGCCCATCCCGGACCCCGTGCCGCCCCCCAGAGAGTGGGTCAGCTGGAAGCCCTGGAGACAGTCACAGCTCTCTGACTCCTTCCTCACCACATCCAGGACCGAGTCGACCAGCTCGGCTCCCTCTGTGTAGTGGCCCTTGGCCCAGTTATTCCCGGCTCCACTCTGGCCTGCCAGAGGGAAAGAGAAATCTTAAGTCACCGGTGATTGTACTAAATACCTTACCTCAAACCCCTCAATATAGATCAGTGAGTCAATGCTCAGATAAGACTATTTCAGATTATCACCAAAATGGCCAAACGTTAAAATATTTGTTCATGAATATAATTATAAATAAGGAAGGCCAGGACACCAAGCTCTTAGCAGCTGAAAGGCAAACAATTTTACACTATATTAAAGCTAAGTTGGCACACCGCGGATGTTCTTCATGCTTTCCCTCTGGCAATCACACCTCTTCAGCCTCCACTGCCCAGCGTAAAATGAATCCCTCATGCTCTCAGCCACACCAGGCACTCACCAAACACGAAATTGTCTGGTCTGAAGATCTGGCCGAATGGTCCAGACCTAACCGAATCCATCGTGCCTGGCTCCAGATCCACGAGGATGGCCCGAGGAACATATTTGTTACCTGCAAGGAACAACAGTGACTTAGACCCTCAGGCAAGGACCTCTGCAGAGAAGGGCTTGGCGCCTGCTGCCATCATGCAGATGTTGCCCCAAACAAAGGGAGACCCACCATCAGGTTCTCAAAGGGCTCTGTTGGCATAAGGAAGCCCAATGAAATACTGCAGGGAAAGAGCGGGGATCCTAAACTGAATAGTCCACCCTCTCCCAGGGCCACACCCCTGGGGTCCCACGCAAGGGAAAGGGGAGAAGGTGGAAAAACTGAAGGGAGTGGGGGTGGGGCAAGGGTGATTACCAGTGGCTTCATTGTAGTAAACATTGATTCTCTCCAGCTGCAAATCACTGTCTCCATGGTAACTGCCAGTGGGGTCAATCCCATGCTCATCACTGATGACCTCCCAAAACTGAGACAGAAAGGCTGCATTTAGCCATGAACGATGCCCCCAGAAACGCCAAGGCTCACAATGAAATGTCCCCGACTCAGTTCCGACAACCCAACATTTCAGGAGCTTGAAGCTTTAAAGGGCGTCGTGACCCGGGCACAGCCGCGGGGCTTGTATTTTGCAGGTTCAGAAAGTTGAAACTGGGCGTTTCCCAGGCAAACAGCTGCCGCTCGCGGGGGGAGGTAGGGGTCGAGGGGGTAAGGACCAGCCAAAGCCGGGCAGTGGCGGAGCTTGGCGCACTGGTCGCAGCCCCAGGCTGCGGCAGGAGGCGAGGGCACAGGGACTGCAGCCCGCCAGGAGCGGGTGGGCGGGGAAAGAGGAACGCAAAGGAGCTAAAGGACCGCGGTTTTAGATTCAAAGCACGTCCTGAGACCGCAAGACAATCGCTCTCCTCCCCTCCCCCGGCAGCTCGACTCCGGTTCAAGCGAGTACAATTAATCCTCCTGGTGTCCCAGCCCCTCGCGCGGAGCGCCGCGCACAGCCTCGCGGACACACCCTCGTCTTCTCCAGGCACGCGTGCCTGCCAAGCAGCCAGCGCGGAGGGAGGCCGAGGGGGTGACGGGGACTCCAAATGAGTTACAGCAGAAAGAAAGAGAGGTGCCCCCTCCGTCCGCGAAAGTCACCTCCTAGCCCAGGCCACACTCGGCGGCACAAAGCGGCCAGGAAGGTCTGCATTTGGCGATCCCCAGGCCTTCCCAGGACCGCGCCTGGGGACCCCGAGGGGCTCTCGGCCCAGGTTCGCGCCCCCATTGGACCCCCTCCGCTGCGGCGCGCCCACCTTGGCGCCGATCTGGTTGCCGCACTGGCCCGCCTGGATGTGCACGATCTCACGCATGGTGCCTCGTCAGCGTCCTCCTGGTCCGGCGGCGTCTGGGTCTGTCCGTCCTCCCCTCACACACCCACTGCGGGGTCACCGGGAAGGCGCTCGGGAACCGACGGGCTGAGAGCGCCGGCCCCGCGGGCTCCGGCTTTTATGCAAGGAGGGTGGGGCGGCCGGCACAGGCCGCGCCCCCAGCCCGAGCCCCCCAGTCCCCTTCGCGCTGGCGCTCTCCAGGCCCGGCTGACGTAATGCTCCGAGCCCTAGGGACCGTCCGGGGGGCTGGACCACCGGCCCGCGGCCAATCAGAGCGGGCGTGCCGACCGGGAGAGGGGTGGGGGCTACCGGGAGTATGGTGGGGGCGTGCGCATTGTCTGGGGCTGTGGTGGGGGTCTGGGTATGGGGATATGGGGGAACAGTGAAGAAAAGGAGGGTGAGAGGGCGGCGAGGCGAGGGCCACCAGCGCGTCCTGACCGGGGTGGGGGCAGAGCTGGCACCGGATGGGAACGATGGAGGACTGGAGCATGTGGAGAAGCCGTCAGGTGCTCCAGTGCCGGCAGGTGGGAGGGCTGAGGTGGCACAGGCTGCTCCGCCACCTCGGACTGCGGCTCCTACTCGGCCACTGGCCAGAGTCCCTCCAGCCAACTGCCCCTGGTGAGACCACCGTCTTTTTCCTCAACCCTGGAGGCCAGCGACTGCCCAGGCGGCGCTCCGTCTCACAGAGGCCTGGGGGAGGACAGGTGGCCCCAGAAGGAAGTCGTGCTTGATGGCAACCGGGACACCTGCGGCCCATGAACACCAGCGCGGCCTCCGCCCCCGCCCCAGCGTGGGCCTGCTTTCTCCTTTGTCTGTCTTGGGCTGGTAGCTCCTCTCACTGCGCCGCAGCATCTAGGGGTGAAGCGACCTCGGAGCCCCTCAGCCCTGCCCGACCCTCTCCGGGAGTGCATAACGCCCCTGCTGGTACCCAGGAGCCCTCTGCCCCGGGGGTTGACTTTTGTTGCTCGCTAGTGATGGAGTGGGAGTGGCCGGTGGCGCTGCACTGACCGTCCGGAGGGCAGAAAGAGGGTGGGGTCCCGGGGGCGGGGCTGTCGGCGGAACAAAGGGCTCTCAGAAACGTGGGATACGCTGTGTAACCCAGTATTTAAAACCACACGACAGGCGCCCCACCCCCCCACCCCGCCCTCGGATTCAGTTCATCTATTGTCAAGTAAGAGGGTGGGTTCCAAGGGTGGCCCAAGCCCGAGTAACAAACTTTCTTATCTTCCATCGCGGCGACCTGGAGGTCCGAGGCTTCGTGCTGCGGTTGAAGGGTGGGGAATACGACTAAAAACTGCAGCCCAGCGCGCGCGAGACGACCCAAGACCCACGCGCACTCGCACGAGCGCGTGCACAGACTTGGAGCACAGACCCTCCCTTCAGATCCGCAGTCTCTAGGTACTGAGGCAGGAACTGGTCTCTTTGTTACTTTTCGCGCGCGCGTGTGTGTGTGTGTGTGTGAGAGAGAGAGAGAAAGAGAGAGAGAGAGAGACTAATCCTGCGTGCGTTTGAGGGCGGGAGGGGAAAGGGTGTCAGAAACGTTCACTGCACAACCTGTTCCCTGCAATTCGATGACTGAAGCGCGCCGCCCCACACTTCGGAAGGGCCGTTGGCGAGGTGACGTGACCTCTTTCATCCCCTGGCGAGAAAGGCCGAATGACCCGGGCGCACGCGGCGGAGCTCAGCCTGCAGCTGTTGAGCGAGACCCTCCCAGAACTATCAGCAAGCTGTCATCGCCTCCCTTTCCCGCTGTGGGGTGGAGGGTGGGGGGTTCAAGTCGATTCCAATGTACAAAGAGAAGTAGCGAGAACAAAAGCCCAGGCGCCCCCAAACATCCAGGGCGCCCAGACTGGAGCTCGCCGGCCGGTATTCCAGACCCGGCCGGCGTGCCCGGGTGAGGGTGGGGTCTACCGAGAGGCAGAGAGCAGCGGAGGGTCTGTCCACATGCCCTGCTCTCCCGGTACCAAGGTCTCGGGGCCTGACCTCCGAGTTTCTAATCCAGATCCTGCAGATGCCGAAACGTCGAGGGCTAGCAATTCCCAAGGTCATACAGCAAGTTGAGGACAGGGCTCGGACTGGAATCTCGTCTTTTGGGCACACCAGACCTCAGGGAAAGTGACCGCATCTCGGCCAAAAGGGCTGTGGCAGGTGTCAGCCTCGAGGTGGCGGCTCTGGTGGGACCAAGCTGCGCCGGAAGGAACAGAGCTAGGGCGGCACCCGCGCGGCGAGTGTAGACACACTCGGAGCGGTCACCCCCTCGCTGCGAGCTCCCAGGAGCAACCCTGATGCTCAGCGCTGGGGGGTGGGGTTGGGGGCCGCTCAGCTCCATGCTGAGTAACTTGAGCTGGCCGCCTGCCTCCTTCATCTAACCAATTCATTTCTCAGCTTCTGTTTCCGAGCCAAATCTCCATTCAGTGCCCGGGTGAAAACGCGTGTTCAAGATCATATAGATAGATGAAAAGACCCTTTCCTCTCAGGTTTCTTTTAAAGGGGTTGGTTTGGGATAGGATGAGGCTGGAAATCATCCTTCTGAAAGCCCAGAGTGCCCTTGGGGACACTTTTGGCCCAAGATCTGCTTTCCTTTCAAGCATTTTGCTCGAATTGTCCCCACACCCCTGCCCCTTCCGGGCAGCCAGTCTTGTTAACCGGTCTACATCGCACCCCCACCCCCACCCCCACTGGAATTGTGATGCTGCACATTTTTATTTTCACAAGGAGCCGATTTTGTGTTAAAATGTTGACAACAGCCACACCTTTCCCTGAAGTCTTTCAGTTTATCTGATAACCCTTAAACAAAAAAATCATTCTTAATCCATGTAGCTCGCATAAAGAGACTGGTACCCGGCTTTCAAAGAAAAAAAAAGTCGTTTTCAGTTGGGTCCCCAGCATTTCTGTCTATTCATTATATGCAATGCGTCTCAATCTAGGTCATCGTATATCAGGCACGAAGATTTCGGGGCAACATATTTCATGATCTCTTAATGTTAGTCTTGATGATGTACTAACATTTAAAAATTTTCCCTTCCAGAGACAATTGTAGAAATATTGCTGCATAAAATACAATTCAACATTTGTTTTATACGTAATCTATTGCGTGACTGAGGTGAGCAAGATATCCCTTAAACTATTAAAATTATATTTGCTTTCACAATTTTCAGATTACTTTCAACGGCATGTCCTCAAGTGAATTTGCATTTCTCTATTACACACACAGTCATTGTTTGAAGAAGTCTGATAGAAAAGAGGCTTTATATAGTAGTAAATTTTTAAAGCACTGTTTTCATAATGTAGCATATATTTTTGACACATTTATTGAAATTACTAGACATTTAGCATTAGGGTTCTTCACTGCTTGCCAGGATTCACCGCTTAAAACCCCAAAAACCCAGCCCGCAGCCCCCATAGCTGGCTCTGCAGCCGAGATGCACGCGGTTTCCTAGGCAACCGACACTTAGCCAATGAATGAAGAGGAGTTGAAAGAAAGAGACTGCAAATCCATCATTATTTCCTTACACACACACACGCACACACACACACACACACACACACACACACATCACCTCTTCTCATAGCTCTCCATTTAGAAATATTGGAAAGCTACCAATCCTAGCATTTATGTAAAAGAGCCAAATGCCCGGGGCATGGGGGCTAGGAAGCGGTCGCAGCCCCATACTGTGACTGCGGAAAGGACACAGTGGAGGAAGCTCCCGGGATCCGCCAAGATCTGCGCCTTCTCAGCTTTGTCGCTCCCCAGTTTCTATTCCATTGCCCTCCCCCTTCCCCCCAGGCCTTCCCTCCTCCGCCTGGGAAGCCAGCGGCCCCGGCGGAGCTGCCCGGCACTGTTTAGTCGCAGGGGCTGCGGGGTGGCAGCCTCAGAGCCCTGTCCTTCCGCAGCCGTGGGCCCCGCAGGGACCAGCCAAGCAGGGCAACCAAAAGCTGGAACCAGCAGCGAAAACCCCGAGCCCACGAACGCAGCGCAGTGCGGGAACACTTGCCCTTTGTTCCTCAGTAAGGCCGGGTGTTTTCGCATCCCCGGAGGTTGTGAATTTGAGTTATAATGGCCTCGGTCGGGACTGAGAGAGCCGAGCTTCCACGAGAGAGCTTTGCCTGCTTTGTCCTACAAATCGGCGGAGGGAGTAGCATCCTGGCTTTTCTAGGGCGCCATTTCCCTGCTACAGGCAATCTCCCCTCCCCCACGCTGTCAATGATTTGTGGGATTCTTAGGCAGGCGGGGCAGGCCGAGCCCAGGGAATGCACGCTGAGTCCTAGACACAGAGCCAGGCCGGGTGGAAAACAAAAAGAGAAGAAGTGATTATGAAATAATAAGACGGACCGTGTGCCCCTTGCAAGGTGCGGCCTGCGAAATCAACAGACTTATAAATAAGGTCTGGTGGAAGCGCAGGAGCGCACGCGGGAGGCTATGGCGGGGGAACCTCTGTGAGTTCCGCGGCGGAGGCTAGAACATCGCTGTGGCTGCGGGACCCTCACCCGGCGCTGAAAACCCTCCACATCAGCTCCTGCTCGGAAATGTCTCCGCAGCTCACCAGTGCTTTTCGAAATCTGCCCAAGACCTTTGTTTGCCATTTAAATGAAATGAAAACGTGCGTATCCAGGTGGACACATCCATGCAGCAACACCCCTGCCTCTGGGCTCTAGATGCTTGGTGGGCGGGCAGTCACTGTGGCCACACTGCAGAGACAGCAGTGCAGTTTCCAAACGGAGTTCTTTGGGCTTCACATGCCCAGCCTGCTTCTTTTTTAAAATTTCTATTTTAATTTTAGATTCAGGGAGTCCATGTGCGGGTTTATTACGAGGGTATATTGCATGATGCTGAGCGTCCGGGCTTCTATCGACCTGGTTACCCAGATAGTGAACGTAGTACCCAATAGGGAGTTTTTCAGCCCTTGCTCTGCTCCTTCCTTCTCTCCTTTTGGAGTCCTCAGCGTCTATTGTTCCCATCTTTTTGTCCGTGTGCACCCAATATTTAGCTCCCACTTATAAGTGAGAACATGCAGTATTTAGTTTTCTGTTTCTGTATTATTTCGCTTAGGATAATGACCTTCAGCTGCATCCATGTTGCTGCCAAGGACGTGATTTTGTTTTCTTTTTTTTAAGGGCTGTGTAGTATTCTGTGGTGTGTGTGTACCACATTTTCTTAATCCATTCCACCATTGATGGGCACCTAGGTTGATTCCATGTCTTTGCTATTGTGAATAGTGCTATGAGGAACACAGGAGCTCATGTGTCTTTTTGGTAGAATGATTTTTTTGGGGCGGGGGGTATATACCCAGTAATGGGACTGCTGGGTTGAATGGTAGTTCTATTTTTAGTTCTTTGAGAAATCTCCAAACTGCTTTCCACAGTGGCCGAACTAATTTACATTCGCACCAACAGCAAATAAGCATTCCTTTTTCTCTGCAGCCTTGCCAATATCTGTTTTTTTTTGTTTTGTTTTGTTTTTACTTTTTAATAATAATGACTGCTGTGAAGTGGTATCTCATTGTGATTTTGATTTACATTTTCCTAATGATCAGTATGTTGAGCATTTTTTTCATGTTTGTTGGCCACTTGTATGTCTTCTTTTGAAAAATGTCTGTTCATATCCTTTGCTCTCTTTTTAATGGGGTTATTGATTCTTTTCTTGCTGATTTAAGTTCCTTATAAATTCTGGATATTAGTCCTTTGTCTGCGGCATATTGCAAATATTTTCTCCCATTCTGTAGGTTGTTCATACATCTCCATCAACTCTGTATTGCTTATAGTATGTGGTCCAAACACTTATCATACAATTCAGGTCCTTCAGTCTGGACATTACCTACCTTTCCAGTGTTATTTGCCACCCGTCTGGTATATGCAGTCCATTCCAGGGGACATTAACCTGCACACTGATCTCCAAAAAGGACATGCTCTCTGAAGTTTCTGAGTCTCTGCTCACACTAATCCATTACCTGGAATGACCCTCTCTGCTTCCTCGCCTGGGGCATCTCACTCATTCTTCATGATGCAGCTCATCTATCTGTGATACGTCCCACTAGTTGCCAGGAGCAATGGACTGCCTATGCTCTATGCCCCCAGTTTGCATCATAGGACTGGTACAGGTTTTGCATTTATTACATCAGAGCAGTGGTGTAATGAGTTTTCATTGTATATCTCTATTAACAAAAGAAAAAGGAGGGTATACATTCCCAATATATGTATATTTATTTATTCTTAAATTATATATATTTATTCTTATAAGCTAATATTCCAAGGCACAATATACTTAGTATGAGGTACATTGTTAATGATATCAGATATTAATATTTCCAACTTTTCTATTACTTCCAGTTTTATTTTGGCCAACATCTAGGCAGACTTGGGGTTCCTCATGACTTTCTTACCCTGAAATGGGCTTGACAGAGAGCTTATATAAAGGAGCAGAGTGTCAACCTGGCCATTTCCTTATTTTTTGTGCGTGTTCATATCACTAATGTCATCTTCATTTTGCAGCTTCTTTGCTGTCGGCTTTAAAGCCGCTTGCCAGTTGTGCAAGTCAGGGGAGCAAACAGGAGATAATATGCTCAGCAAACCCAGCTACAGTTCCTCCTTTATGGATCTCCCTTTCCAGGGAACAATTCATGACACATGGCCACAAAACATAAGCATCCTGTGAGGGCACCTGTGTCATTTTGAACTCTAACTACCTAAAGCATAATTTCTTTATTTTTATATGAAACAAACAGAGGTTCTGATTTTCTTCCCATGCTCCAACAGATGCTCTTGCCTGCCCCATTCTGAGAACTCCTGATTGGATTCGAGTTAGTTCATTGGCCTTTATACCTTCCACATTGCCTGAAACTAAGCACGGGCAAATAATAACAGAACTTGGGTTAAAAAAATCACAAATATAAGGCAATTAGGAAAAGCCCCCAGGTACCTCTAACCTGAAGCAGGAGCAGATTGTTCTGCAGATTAAGTACAAAGAAACCTTCCTCCTCTTTCTCCATAATTACCTCTTGGCCAGGTCCAGCCCACATCCCATCCTTCCCAGACTTTGCGGCTCCTGGCTGTGGTGAGCGTGGAAGGGCCTGGATGATATGCCCTCCTCTGCAATCATCTTTCACTTCCCTATAGCCATTTTCCTACGCCTGCGTTTTCACCCTTGTTTGTCTATGTTGGTAATGCATAACTAAGATTTCTGGTTAAGACAGAGTGGAAGGAGAGAAGGAAATACTTCCTCAGGAATCAGAGTTGAATTACTAGTCTGCACTTTCTTTTCTTTGTTCTTTCTTTCTTTCTTTCTTTCTTTCTTTCTTTCTTTCTTTCTTTCTTTTTCTTTCTTTCTTTTTTTTTTTTTTTTGAGACAGAGTTCGCTCTTTCACCCAGGCTAGAGTGCAGTGGCGTGATCTTGGCTCACTGCAACCTCCGTCTTCCGGTTTCAAGTGATTCTCCTGCCTCAGCCTCCCGAGTAGCTGGGACTACAGGCGCTCCCATCATGCCTGGCTGATTTTTGTATTTTTAGTAGAGACGGGGTTTCACCATGTTGGCCAGGCTGGTCTCGAACTCCTGACCTCGTGATCCACCCGCATTGGCCTCCCAAAGTGCTGGGATTACAGGCATGAGCCACTGTGCCCGGCCCCCTGCACTTTCTTGTTTGCTTATTTGTTTTTTAATTTTTTTTTTCTTTTTCTTTGTTTCTTTTTTTTGAGACAGAGTCTCACTCTGTTGCCAGGCTGGAATGCAGTGGCGTGATCGCAGTGCAACTTCCGCCTCCCAGGTTCAAGCAATTCTCCTGACTCAGCCTCCTGAGTAGCTGGGATTACAGGTGTGCCCCACCACGCCTGGCGAATTTTTGTATTTTTCGTAGAGACAGGGTTTCACCATGTTTGTCAGGCTAGTCTCGATCTCCTGACCTCATGATCCACCCGCCTTGGCCTCCCAAAGTGCTGAGATTACAGGGGTGAGCCACTGTACCCGGCCTATATTTTATTTTCTTAGAGACTAGGTCTCCCTATATTGTTCAGGCTGGTCTCAAACTCCTGGGCTCAAGCTATTCTCCTGCCTGGCCTCCCAACATGCTGAAATTACATGCGTGAGCCACCCCAACTGGCCCACTAGTCTGCACTCTCTTTCTTGGCATGCAAATCAGGGGTGTTAAACAGACTACTGTCTTGGTGATGAGGTCTGGAGAAGACAGAACCAAGTAAACTTTCTGCTTCTTTCAGAAGTCACTCAATGGAGGAAATGCAAACCCCAACTTTTAGGAAATTGAGGAAAGATAAAAAGTATCAACTTCCTGGAGCTCTTTGATAAAGGAAGGATCTTCTGGGCAAGTTAGAAAAAAGATCAAGTCACTCTTATAAGGTGGGGTGGGGAAATCAGGGTTGTTTCAGACTTTTCTAAAACAATAGTCAATGCTAGAAGATAATAAAACAATTTCTATAACATTTTCAAGGAAAATGTGCCCAAGGATTTTTTAAAGGTAACATATATTTTTGAACATAGAAGAACTAAAAAAATATTGTTCTTGTGAATCCTGTTTAGGGGAAAAAAAGGACCCCAGAGAATGTAGAAGTAGGTCTCAGAATGAAAGTACCATACAGAGGTTTGCAGGTACTGGCAGAGGCTGTGTGACAGCCTGTGAACTAAGGAATGAGGTGCCTCTGAAATGGCCTAGAGACAAATGCAGAAGTCCCTCAGCTGTGGAAAGCTCTGCGCCTTCAGGAAGGATGTTGACAGGCTCTTTCGAGGTGCTGCTAGGGGTCTGCCAGGTTCCCTGGCGGTTGGAATTATTACCTTGCAGGGAACTGGCTGTTTGTCAGTTTATTCTGGAAGCTATTCCTGCTACAAAGAGTAGAAGACATCAAGGGATGGAACAATAGACCGCATAAAACTACACTACCACATGAAAACACTGACTCTTAAACAATTGTGAGATTTTAGGCAGAAGATCAAAGCAGCAAAGCATCTTCTCAGGAACTCAGGGTACAGAACACAACTGTGTTTGAGGTGAGCAGGATGAGACAGTCAGGGGGCCTAAAGAAGGGAATCGGATTCCTGGAGAAAAGCTGCTTCTTATTTTTGCTGCTAAGGACAAATGTCACATAAAGAAACAGGACAAACTACTAGAAAGCCAAAACTCTGGGCCGGGCGCGGTGGCTCACGCCTGTAATCATAGCACTTTGGGAGGCTGAGGCAGGGGGATCATGAAGTCAAGAGATCAAGACCATTCTGGCCAACGTGGTGAAACCCCATCTCTACTAAAAATACAAAAATTAACTAGGCGTGGTGGAGTGTGCCTGTAGTCCCAGCTACTCAGAAGGCTGAGGCAGGAGAATCACTTGAATCCGGGAGGCAGAGGTTGCAGTGAGCTGAGAACGCGTCGCTGCACTCCAGCCTGGCGACACAACGAGACTCCGTCTTAAAAAAAAAAAAAAGCCAAAACTCTATGAAAAAAGTACACATTTTAATATAGCATTGGGTTAAATTTTCAGAGGGAAAAATATGTCACAATAAAGGCTAAGTTAAAAAAAAAAAGGCTAAGTTCCAACAAGCATAAGAAAAAAATAACCAAATTTCAGAGGTGCATGGAACAAATACTGGGGAAAGATGATTGGAATAAGAAATACACTGAGCTCAGGGAACTAACAAACTCGAATGTGAAATCTTTGAAAGATATATAAGAAACTACTGCTTACAAAGAGAGGGAAATTAAAGTTTTAAAACATTGCATTTTATAGTTGAAGCAGATCACTGGAGTGAGAAGGTTCTTTTTTTTCTTTTTTGAGATGTAGTTTCACTCTTGTTGCCCAGGCTGGAGTGCAACAGCATGATCTCAGCTCACTGCAACCTCTGTCTCCCGGGTTCAAGTGATTCTCCTGCCTCAGACTCCCAAGTGGCTGGCATTACAGGCATGTACCACCATGCTCGGGTAGTTTTGTATTTTTAGTAGAGACGGGGTTTCTCCATGTTGGTCAGGCTGGCCTCAAACTCCCGACCTCAAGTGATCCGCCTGCCTCAGCCTCCCAAAGTGCTGGGATTACAGGCGTGAGTCACCGTGCCCGGCCTCTTTTTCTTTTTTTAAAGAAATCAGAGAAGGAGGAGGATGAAGTGCTGATGGACAAATGTTTGCCAAATCCTTTGTTTCCAACATACCCTGACTGATGAGGGGTCATGTAGGCATGACATTCGACCAAAATTCTGCCAGAAAGCAAAAGAAAAAATCTTGCAGCAGAAAGTGGAGAGATTCTTAACGACCTCTACCGAGAGAAATGCATGGTTCTGAAAAAGAAGCTGATTCAGGACTGGTATAAATAGGAAAAGAAATGACAGAAGCTACCAGCTGCAGAGGAAATGAAAACTTACAAGCAGAGAAGTGAAGAAATGTTGAATGAATTATGGCCAACAGTGAGATCTCACCACCCCAGACCATCCTCGTGGTGAGAAGGCTCGTGACAGCTGGCCCGAGGTCATTGCTGGAGTGGAAGGTGAGCTATGCCAGCCTTGGATAGAAACTAATACAGCTGAATCCATGATTTCAGAGAGAAACCTTCACCAGGCTCCCCTGCTCTGTACGCTGATATTGGAGGAAAACAAGCTCTGCCCACTACCCACGTGGCCACTGGTCACTCCTACAGAATACACTTGGATGCATCCTCGCCATGGGGGGCTTCCGGGCCTCCTTGCGGTCTGCCTGTCATTCTCACTGGGCTCCGCCTCCTCCAGACTTAGAGAACATTGCAATGGTGAGACACGCTTTCCCATGCAGTCAGGGCCATCTCTTGGGGTTCTGGAGGGAGCTCGCCCTTGAGAATCAGAGGTCCCCAAGGCTCTGCTTCTGACCTGAAGTCACCACTTCGCCCTCATCCTGTCCCAGCGCAGAAGGACTCTTTGTCTCCACCTCATGCAAGATAGGAGAATGTCGTCAGGTTCCAGAGCTGCCCCTTCTCCAGCGGCGGCTTACAGGAGGACTCACAGCCTCCACCATCCTTCGGTGTGACAGTGGGCGGAGGACTCACAGCCTCCACCATTCCTTCGGTGTGACAGTGGGCGGAACGTCCTCCCTGCTTCGAATCCATTTCCATTTCCCATTTTTTATTTGCTTAGGCTGTCCTGAAATTGTGCTTTTTTTTTCTTTTTTTGAGACGGAGTCTCGCTCTTGTTGCCCAGGCTGGAGCGGGATCTCGGCTCACTGCAAGCCCCGCCTCTTGGGTTCAATCAATTCTCCTGCCTCAGCTTCCCAAGCAGCTGGGATTACAGGCACACACCACCATGCCCATCTAATTTTTGTATTTTTAGTAGAGATGGGGTTTCACCATGTTGGCCAAACTGGTCTCAAACTCCTGACCTCAGGTGATCCGCCTGTCTCAGCCTCCCAAAGTGCTGGGATTACAGGCGTGAGCCACTGTGCCCGGCCAAAATTGTGCATTTTGAGTCACACATGAAGAAGACTCTGAAGATGAAGCCATCTGAAGTATTACTTGCCTGTTTTATTTAGCATCAATTCCAGTAATTAACAAATTAAACATTATGAAACTGCTGTGAAAACACCTTTAATAAACATTTTTGAAGTTCAAAACTATTGTCAAAGTACTTCAGAATGGAAGAGAAAACCCTTACAACCTTATTGCAATTTGGAATGTAGTAAGGAGGTCCCCACCTCCACACCATAATAATTCCTTCGCTCAGGAATCAAATGATCTGGAATGCCACTCCCTGGGACTTGTTCCTTTGTGCTACGAGTTGCCTTTATCCTAGAAACCTATTTAAATCATGCAGTTCCTGAGTGGGCACCACACTGCCTCTAGTACCTTTAAAGGTACAGGAACTTTTCAGACTCAGCTGCCTTCAGGATCAGAAGAGCACAGGGCTAGTGCGTTCTGCTGAGTGGGAGGTGAGGGGGAGAAGCTACTCCTTGCCTCGTAATGCCTGCTCCTGAAGCCCCCGTGATTCTGGGTGTAGGACCGAGCAGACTACACCGGGGCTTTTCCCAGACAGACATTGGGAAAAGGCCTGGCTGACCTTCCCAGGACAATGCAGGTGACTGCAGTCCTCCTCCTGGTGAATGGGACAGTCACTGGGGAGTCCTACAGGCCTTTGGAAGTATTGCCGTACAGCCGGGCACACCCAGCTTTCATCCTTGCAAATGGCATTAGAAGCCATGGGATGTATCTGACAAATACTTCCCGTGCATCAGGCAGTGTTCTAGGCATCGGGAAGACAGCAGCAGACGAATCAGACAAAAGTCTCAGTCCTCCAGGAGCAAACACGGCAGGTGAAGCTGTAAAGTTAGAAGAGCGCGATTCCTCAGGTCGGCAGTTTCCCATGTTTTTGTTGTTTCCTGCTCGTTGCCCTTTATTGGATTTTTTATGCCAATTTCACTCTTTTCCATACCTTCCTCTTTTCTCTGTTAAATAGAGTGTGGTGAGACTGAGTAATTAAAGGCTGCAGATGACTTTGATGACAGTGTAATGAAAAGTCTGTGACAGCTTATTAGACCAAGTGCCATCAAGGTTATTTGAGTCACACTGACACTTTCAATAATGACACTGTTCCATCCCTGACCTGACTTCCCTTCGTCGCCCCTTTTTGTTCTCTCTTTCTCTCTCTGAATGATTGTAGATTACCTGGCACAGGAAAGTAAGTAACTGATACTGGGGGGAAAAAACCAAACAAACAAATAAACAAACTCTCAGCCTAAAAACCCATGTCTTTAGTCATTGTAGGATCCTCACCAAGGTGATCTCTAAATCAAAAGCCAAATTGTGTTGGAAAACACAAACTAAACAGTGCTAGCCACCTGTAACAACCACCCAAAATTTCTCCTTTATACCATAGCTATAGCCAGGAAAAACTGAAGCTTCAATACAAAATGAATTTTACCCCCCGGGCTCTCCTCCACGTGTCATCCCACTGCAGAAATACTGCGCAGAAGGACGAAGGTGAACTTATTTTCCCAAACTTACAGGTCCATTGTCAAGTTAGCCAGGGGGAGGTTTGGATGGCAGGCCCTCTTGGCAGGTCACTGTTTTTACAACAGCAATTTGATTTTAGAAGGCAGCAGGAGGCAGCTTAATTCACTCAGAAGAGGAGTTGCCCACCCAAATTTGCTTCCTCTGCCTTTTGCAGACTTGAGCTAAGAGGCCTTGGACACAATGCCCAGCCTGTCCCTGCCTCGCATCTGTAAACGAGAATAATAACATGCTTCCTCCTTTCCCCCAACACTGGGGAGCTGTGAGAAGAGATGGGATAGGCCGCTGCCACGTGTGGCCTTGCTCATCACATCGCACCTCCTCGTGTCAGATGGTAAGCCCTGGATGCCCTCATCTTATTCTCATTGTCTTCACAGGTCCAAGCTCCGTAACTGTCACATTCCAGATTTCAGATATCTGATGTCCTCCACACCACCACCACCCTGCCTTTGTCTTAAATCATTTTCTTTCTTTGATATATAAGTGTCATTTTGGGGGAAATATTTTCTTTTTTTTTTTTTTTGAGACAGAGTCTGGCTCTTTCACCCAGGCTGGAGTGCAGTGGCTGATCTCAGCTCACTGCAAGCTCTGCCTCCCGGGTTCGTGCCATTCTCCTGCCTCAGCCTCTGGAGTAGCTGGGACTGCAGGCACCTGCCACCGCGCCCGGCTAATTTTTTTGTATTTTTAGTAGAGACGGGGTTTCACCGTGTTATCCAGGATGGTCTCGGTCTCCTGACCTCGTGATCCACCCACCTCGGCCTCCGAAAGTGCTGGGATTACAGGCGTGAGCCACCACACACGGCCAAAATATTTTCATTTTAAGTTACTTCATGCCTCAGTTTCCCAACCCCAATATTATCTTCCAGTGTTCGGGTTCTCAAATATTTAAAATAAGTGGTCACAGACTTTGTAAATCTTCTGTCTCTAGGACATGGGTGTTGCTCCTTCACCTTGCTGCTTGTTCTCTGGGTGCTCACTTACTTGACTTTCTTTCTTTGCTTTGCCTCTCCTTCCTTCTCTTCCCTCCTCCATTTCTTGAATCTATCTAGTTTCTCCAAAAATTATTTTTTATTTTTATTTTACTGTAAGTTCTGGGATACATGTGCTGGACATGCAGGTTTATTACATAAGTATACGTGTGCCATGGTGGTTTGCTGCACCTGTCAACCCGTCGTCTTAGGTTTTAACCCCCCCGCATTAGGTATTTGTCTTAATGCTCTCCCTCCCCTTGCCCCCCACCCCAACAGGCCCCGTGTGATGTTCCCCTCCCTGTGTCCATGTGTTCTCATCGTTCAGCTCCCACTTAT